>NC_000012.12:31665504-31818199 GCF_000001405.40 Homo sapiens
TTTTTTTGCATACCTCTTATTTGCTGAGACCAGCTCGGCTGGGGAGACCCTAACCCAGTGACACTAGAGGAATTAAAGATACACACACAGAAATGTAGAGGTGTGAAGTGGGAAATCAGGCGTCTCACAGCCTTCAGACCTGAGAGCCCCGAACAGAGATTTACCCACATGTTTATTAACAGCAAGCCAGTCATTAGCATTGTTTCTATAGATATTAGATTAACTAAAAGTATCCCTTATGGGAAATGAAGGGATGGGCTGAAATAAAGGGATGGGTTGGGTTAGTTATCTGCAGCAGGAGCATGTCCTTAAGGCACAGATCGCCCATGCTATTGTTTGTGGTTTAAGAACGCCTTTAAGCAGTTCTCTGCCCTGGGCAGGCCAGGTGTTCCTTGCCCTCATTCCGGTAAACCCACAGCCTTCCAGCGTGGGTGTTATGGCCATCATGAACATGTCACAGTGCTGCAGAGATTTTGTTTATAGCCAGTTTTGGGGCCAGTTTATGGCCAGATTTTGGGGGGCCTGTTCCCAACATTTATTTTTCCTCATCTCTCTGAGACATGTTTCTCCTTTTTAATTTAGGTATCTTTTGGATAATCCTGATGTTGTCAGAGGAAAATCTGTATTAGATCTTGGGAGTGGATGTGGAGCTACAGCTATTGCTGCTAAGATGAGTGGGGCATCAAGGATCTTGGCCAATGACATAGACCCTAGTAAGGATTCATATTTTAAAATATTTAAGGCTCATCTTTTTTTTTTCTCTGGGATAAATATGTACACATGCTCAGTGTGGTAGCTTATCGTTATATGTATTTTGTGATTGGACATTGTGAATCTCTGTGCACTGGGACATTATCTGTAGGAATCCCCTGAGGTCTGAGTAGATGGTGCATTTTTCCCAAGAGGATTTGTGTCTGCCAGACATCCAGAGTAAGCACTTATGTTAATTTATGGGCTAGGAATTTCCTGAAATATGTAAATAGTGTTTATTTGACCCCAAACCCAAGTGAGTATTGACCTGTCTTTGAGGGTTATTTTTATTCCATTAGAACCCAGGCTGAGACAGGTAAGTTTTTATTTGATCTGATTTTCTTCTGGTCTACCCTTTCACTGAGAATATAGTCCTTGAAAACCTTTATTTTATTTTATTTATTTATTTATTTTGAGACAGAGTCTCCCTCTGTCACCCAGGCTGGAGTGCAGTAGCACAATCTCAGCTCACTGCAAGCTCCGCCTCCCGGGTTCACACCATTCTCCTGCCTCAGCCTCCTGAGTAGCTGGGACTATAGGTGCCTGCCACCATGCCTGGCTAATTTTTTTTTTTTTGCATTTTTAGTAGAGATGGGGTTTCACCGTGTTATTCAGGATGGTCTCAATCTCCTGACCTCGTGATCTGCCCGTCTTGGCCTCCCAAAGTGCTAGGATTACAGGCATGAGCCACCGCGCCTGGCTGAAAACCTTTATTTTATAAAGGAGTCTCAGTTCTTTTTTTTTCTTTTTTTTTTTTTGATACAGAGTCTCACTCTATTGCCCAGGCTGGAGTGCAGTGGCACGGTCTTGGCTCACTGCAACCTCCACCTCGTGGGTTCAAGTGATTCTCCTGCCTCAGCCTCCCGAGTAGCTGGGATTACAGGCATGCACCACCATGCCCAGCTAATTTTTGTATTTTTATTAGAGACAGGGTTTGACCATGTTGGCCAGGCTGGTCTTGAACTCCTGACCTCAGGTGATCCACCCGCCTCGGCCTCCCAAAGTACTGGGATTATAGGCGTGAGCCACTGCGCCCAGCCAAGGGGTCTCAGTTCTAATTTATTGCCATGCTCAATCAAGCCCAAGTCTCGTTTCCCTGTCCACAGTAAAAAAACAAAATCTTTTGGTTAATGAAATCAGCAAATATTCCTAAAAGTCCCAGCATTTCTAGGTGTTTTGAATTGTTTGTTTTCAGGATATCCAGTCATGTATTTGGAAATTGTGGTATAGCTTATATTGGGATAACCTTTATACTTCTCTACTTTAAAAAACAACTTTCATCAAAAAGGAAGAAAAATATATTGTTAGCAGATCTTCTAAATTATTTAATCAACATGGAATTATAACAGCCTAGCATATACCAATTCATTTTGTGCTTTTTTTTTTTTTAAGTTGCAGGAATGGCTATTACACTAAATTGTGAATTGAACAGACTGAATCCTTTTCCTATTTTAATCCAAAACATTTTGAATTTGGAACAAGATAAGTGGGACCTTGTTGTTCTTGGCGATATGTTTTATGATGAAGACCTTGCAGATAGTCTTCATCAGTGGCTGAAGAAGTGCTTCTGGACCTATAGAACTCGAGTACTGATTGGTGACCCTGGGCGGCCCCAGTTCAGTGGACACAGCATTCAGCATCACCTGCACAAAGTGGTAGAATATTCACTTTTGGAGTCTACTAGGCAGGAAAACAGTGGACTGACAACAAGCACAGTGTGGGGTTTTCAGCCTTGAGTTGTCAAAGTGCTTCCAAGTATGAATATAGTAATGTTTGGATCTGACTCTAAAAGTTTTCTCTATAGGAGATACTCTCCAGTTTAATGAATGTAATTCTTGTTAAATGGAAAATCTTGTTTTTAAAATATGAAGGTTTAGAGTTTTGTTTACTTTTGTCATGTAACTGGTTCTGTATTTCTATGCATGCCAATTATACACATCTCTATCTGCATTTTTTTTTCTATTTTAACCGCTGAAGGAATATGATTATACAATGCCATACTCAATGGTGGCAGCATTTAATTTAAGTAATGGAGAAGAATTAAACATTGTAGCTGGATCTGTTTCTGTAGTCGAGGACAACTGTGATGTAACTTTGAATTAAACAAACAAAACAAAACAGAAGAAGACTATATATATATTTTTTCTTTTTTTAGAGACAGTCTCACTTTGCTCCCAGGCTGGAATGCAGTGGCTATTCAGAGGCTTAATCATTGGGCACTGCAGCCTTGAACTCTGGGCTTTTTTTTTTTTTTGAGATGGAGTCTCAGCTCTGTCGTCCAGGCTGGAGTGCAGTGACTCATGTCTCGGCTCACTGTAGCCTCCACCTCCCCCAATCAAGCGATTGTCCTGTCTCAGCCTCCAGAGTAGCTGGGATTTTAGGTGTGCACCACCATGCCTGGCTAATTTTTGTATTTTTAGTAGAGACGGGGTTTTGCCATGTTGGCCAGGCCGGTCTCAAACTCCTGACCTCAGGTGATCCACCCGCCTTGGCCTCCCAAAGTGCTAGGATTACAGGTGTGAGCCACCACGCCAGCCTGACGATGTTTTTTACTTCTATCACTTCCTTTTGATTTTTTCTTATAGCTTCTATCTCTGCTTACGTCACCCATCATTCTTGCGTGTTGTATGCTTTTCGCATTAGAGCCCTTTGCATGTTAATCAGTTATTTTAAATTTATGATCTGGTAATTCTAAAATGTCTGCCATAACTGAGTCTGGTTCTGATGCTTGTTTTCTTTTCAGACTGTTTTTTTGTCTTTTAGCATGCCTTGTAATTTTTTGTTGATAGCTAGACATGATGTATTGCATAAATAAACAAGTAAACTAAGGTAGCATGAGGTTTTAAAATCTGGGTAGGGCTACTGTTTGCTGTAGAGTAGATATTACAGGCTAAATTTTCCTCTAGTGTCCTGGCTATTGTCTCCTCTGTTATCTTTGAGTTTCCCTAGAGATTCCTTCTTATATAGAGTCTGAAGCTTGCAGTTTTTTTCACCTGTAATTCCCTGTTATTATACAGTAGCCTAACTGATGTGATAAGGTATGGGAGAAGGTATGTTCTATAGTCCTGTGATTAAGTCTCAGTCAGTTAAGTCAGCCTGTGCCCCTGCTGTGACCTTCACAAGTGCTTTCAGCTTTTCTTTTGTCACTTTGGTGAGACAGGAAGGCTAGAGGCAGCTGGAGTTGGGTGCTTCCTTTCCCCCAGGTCAACGAGGCTCTGGTAAAATAGTTTCCCTTGAGAACTGGCTTTTGTTAAGGAGAACTGAACACTTGGGCATATTTCAAAATGGTTACTTTCCCTATCCTCATACCAGAAGAGGGGATTTTTCTCTGATCCTCACCCTGAGAACCTGGTAGGTATCCTGGAGGTAAAACTATGAAAGTGTGGTGTCTCCCCTAGGAGTGGGCCCCCTGGAGTTTGTTTGTTTTAATTTAACAAAGTTTAATTGAGCAAAGAACAATCTGTGAATTGGGCAGCTCCCAAAAGCAGAATAGGTTCAGAGTGACTGCAGGGTTGCCACACCTGGTTAGATAACGTTTATGGACAGATTCCTAGAGCTTTTGATTCTTTTTTTTTTTTTTTTGAGGCAGAGTTTCACTCTTATTGCCCAGGCTGGAGTGCAATGGCGTGATCTTGGCTCACTGCAACCTCCACCTCCTGGGTTAAAGTGATTCTCCTGCCTCAGCCTCCTGAGTAGCTGGGATTACAGGTATACACCACCAAACCCAGCTGGGATTACAGGCATGCACCACCATGCCCAGCTAATTTTTGTATTTTTAGTAAAGACAGGGCTTCGCCATGTTGGCCAGGCTGGTCTCGAACTCCTGACCTCAGGTGATCCACCTGCCTCAGCCTCCCCAAGTGCTGGGATTACACGTGTGAGCCACTGTGCCAGGCTGGAGCTTTTGATTCTTAAGTCCATCCACATGGAGCCTCCAGCAACTCAGGAATTACAGCATAAATGTTCCTATTGGTACTGGCTCCAGCAACAGGCTTCTGCTCCCTGTAAGCTATGGTTCTTTGTATTTGCGTTTCTAATTTGTGAGGCATTCTCTCTTTAACCTTAATTCTCTAATGGATCTAAGTGTTGTTGACTTTTCAGTTTATTGAGCTTTTTTCTTATTGTGAGGATGGGAATGATGACTTCCAATCTCTTTATATTAGAAAATATAAATCAGACTAGAGACTGGAAATTTTTGTTGTTGTTGTTGGGTGTTTTGTTTTGTTTGTTTTTAGACAGGTCTTGCTCTCTCATCCAGGCTGGAGTTCAGCAATGCGACCGTGCTCACTGCAGCCTCGACTTTCTAGGCTCAGGTAATCCTCCCACTTCAGCCTCCTTAGTAGCTAGGACTGTAGGCATGCACCACCATGATGCCTGGCTAGTTTTTTTATTTTGTATTTTTTGTAGACATGGAGTCTTGCTACATTGGCCAGGCTGGGTATTACTGGGTATTTCTTTCTTTCCTCCTTTATTTCTTTCCATATTTACTTATTCAATGAATATTTGAGTGCTTATTATATACCAGGCACTGTTCTAGGCACTGGGGATATGGGGATACAGCAATGAAAAAAAAAGATAAATACTTTGTCCTTATGAAATTTGTATTCTAGAGTAGGGAGACATAATGAACAAATGAAAACAGGCATCAGATGGTGATAGGTAGTAAGGAGAAAAAGAAGTAAGGGTAATAGGGAATACTGGGTACTGGATGGGGTACAGATATTTTAAACAGAGTGGTGAGAAATAGTTAATACAGCTAGCAACATAAAAAAGGAGAAATATCAAACTGCAAACTGTTTTAGGAAGATAAATCCTTCATAGACCCAAAGAAGCTCACAATTTAGATGTCGAAACTAGTTTCTGCAAAAAGGGGAAAATGTGATTGACTTGGTTAAATATTCAGTATTAAATTTTATTGAATTTGTCTTTAGAAAAATTTCATAGTTAGAACAGGCCTTACCCATTTTGCACATATATACATATGCACCACCTTTGCAGTGGCAACATATATATCCACACTATAAACATACCACATTTATAAATCTTGTAAGGACAAGAAATGGAGTTGAATAAGTACCCCCCAACATATACAAGAAAGTTAGCATACTTACCCCGTTTTTCACTACATCAGAGGCAAAATAAGAAATCTTTTAAGAAAATCTCAAGACTGGCTCATGGCAAAATGAATATGCTAAATTTGGGGGTTGGTTTAAGCGTGGTATGTGTCAGGTAATTTTGTGATTACCAAAAAGTTTTCACTTGAAAACTAAGACCTTTGCTGTTTATTTCACAATGTGAAATCAATAAACCTGAGGATACAAGTCTCTGTAGTGATATTCTGTATTTACTCATTTTTACACATTTTTGAATGCAATTTTGCTAAGGAAGGAAAGCTTACAGATGCATAAAATGTAACTGGGAAGAGTAGCCATAAAAATCAATGAATGGATGTGGCTGGGCAAGAGCCTCTGTAATACTAATACGCTGAATGGCTAATAAGTCACTTCATTTCGGTGAAACAAATACCTAAATTCTTTGAAGAATTAACAGGCTTGATGTTCAGGTCTGCTTTTGGCAAATGGGCATTTAAATACTCCAAGAAGGTAAGAGCCAGAAAATAGGAAGGTAACTATGCTTTTAGAAATATGTTTACTTAGATTCTCCCAAGGTTTATACTTACAGGTAAACTTAGAACAATAGCTCAAATACCTACATAGGAGAAGGAAATCTCAAGGGAAAACAGTTAATTTTAAAGTTATTTAAGAAACAGAATCCAACACCATAGATCAGAGTTCATGCTAGGATTATCATTTCAAAAATAATGACTCATCCAACAGATATAGAATAATAGCACTTTAAAGATGTTTAAGAGTAAAGCACAAACCATGTATATACCAAGACTTAGCTAATTCTCTGAGAGTTATAACTTAAGACAATAAAATAATTAAAAATAGTGTTAACATTAAGTAGAATGCAAATCTCTATAGATGGTTTCCTGGGAAAGTAGTTTTGATAAGCTTTCCTAGCATTGATCATCTTCAAAAAAGCATCAATAAACAGTCCATGTCACTTGCTTTAGTTTGTTTGGGCCTACTAATTGCTCCAACACTTCTCGGGAATGATCTATAAAAGAAAACAATGACAATATATTAATTGACAATAAAAAATGTTTAATGTTTCCTCATGTCTAACTGGAGGTGATGTTAATTATTATACAGTTATTTAAAGGATTAAAGGAGGTGATCTATAAAGCACAATATACAACTAACTCACTAATAATTAATTAATGGTAGCCCTCACTATTATTAGGTGTAGTGCACCTATCATGGTATTACTTGTTTAAAAAAAAAAAACAGGCATTTGTTGTTTTCTCTGTAATTTCATCATAATTCCACCAACCAGAGTAATGGTCTAATTTCACCATTAACCTGTGTTAATGGTTAATAACTTTTTTCAGGATCTTAGCCGGAAATAGATGATTCACTAAAGTGGGGTGACTGAACAGCATTTAATGAAGGGAATATTTACCAAAAAAGTAGGATTAAAGAAAGCCAATAGGTACGGTAAACCACCTTGGGAAGCTGCAACACACCCAAAGGGTTAAAGGAGGTAGTAGTCACCGAACGTGACAAGTTGACCTGTAGCTGAACATTTTTCCATGTCTGTATAATACTACTATAAAGCATGATTTTAAATAGATAACCATTATATAAATACACTGTAATTTAACCAATCTATATTATTGGACATTTAGATGTTTTCAGTTTTTCACAATGTACAGTCGTGATTTTGATATGGTTTCCATCCTAGTTTTAGGATGTCTTTTAAAAATCTGAATTAAAGCAAAAATACTGATAAAATTTTGTTAGTTTAAATATTACTCATAAGTTTAATAAACTTGTTTCCATAGATACAACCTATGTTTTATGTACAACATATCTCTAACCTAGTCTTGGAAATCCTGTAATTTGGTGGTTCCTAGACAGATTTCACAGACCAGTAGAAAAAAAAAAAAAGATGGGCCCAACATATACAGTGACAAAATTTTATTTTAAGTTTAACAAAATTAAGCAAAAATACCAAGGTTTATTGCCAGCAAGAGAACCAGAGAGTGTATAGAAATGAAAAGTTATTATCATTGGGAAAACAAAGGTTTACAATTTTTTAAAAAAGCAGCTAGTAAGATAAATGCAGTTTTATTCATGGTCATAAAAATATTATTGGTTATTGTAGAGGAAATCTCAATCAAAGATAGATTCAAATTATGTTGAAAGTAAAAGAATGGACAAAGACATACCATTTAAATGGCAACCATGACAAAGCTGGGTGGCTATAGAAGAAGGGGGAAACACTTTCCAACTCTTTCTGTGAGGCCAGTGTTACCCTGATACCAAAGCCAGACAAAGACATCACATGAAAAAGAAAACTGCAGACAAGGATCTTTTATTAATGTAGACTAAAAAATGCTCAACAAAACACCAGCACACCAAATCCAGCCACTAGAAGAAAGGATTACATACCATGACCAACTGAGATTTATCATAGGAATGCAAGGTTACTTTAACATCTGAAAATCAATTAGTATAATATACTGTGTTAATGTCCTATTGCTGCTGTAACAAATTACCACAAATTTAGTGGCTTAAAGCAACAAATTTGTTATTGTACAGTTTTGAAGGTCAGAATTCCAAAATGGGTCTCACTGGGCTAAAATCAGGTGTGGGCAGGTCTGCGTTACTTTTTAGAGGAAAGTCTTATCTTTTTTTTTTTTTGGAGGCTCTACAGGGGAATCTACTTCCTTTACTTTTCTAGCTTCTAGAAACTACCACATTCCTTGCATTCCTTCCTGCTTATTTAAAGTGAACAACATTGGGCTGGGTGCGGTGGCTCACGCCTGCAATCCCAGCACTTTGGGAGGCTGAGGCGGGCAGATCATGAGGTCAGGAGTTTGAGACCAGCCTGGCCAACATAGTGAAACCCCCATCTCTACTAAAAATACAAAAATTAGCCGAGCACTGTGGCATGCACCTGTAGTCCCAGCTACCTGGGAGGCTGAGGTGGGAGAATTGCTTGAACCAGGGAGGCGGAGATTGCAGTAAGCCAAGACCATGCCATCGTACTCTTGCCTGGGTGACAGAGTGAGACTCCATCTCAAAAAAAAAAAAAAGTGGGCATCATTGAGCACAGTCCTTCTCAAGCTGCCATCTCTATGGTCCTCTCTCCTTCTACTTTTAAGGACCCTTATGATTATTTTGGGCCTACATAGATAATACAGAATGATCTCCCTACTTAAAAATCAACTGATTAGCAACTTTAATTCCATTGGCAACCTTATGTAACATAACATACTCACATTTTGGGCATTAGAACGTGGATATCATTGGGTGGGTGAGAGCATTATTCAGCTTACCACCTACACCATTCTAATAGAACAAAGAACTAAAACCACATGATCATCTCAATAGACAAAGAAACACCAATTGGCTGGGTACGGTGGCTCATGCCTGTAATTCCAGCACTTTGGGAGGCTGAGGGCGGATCACCTGAGGTCAAGAGTTCAAGACCAGCCTGGCTAAGATGGGAAAACCCCGTCTCTACTAAAAATACAAAAAAAAAAATTAGCCATGCATGGTGGTGGGTGCTTGTAATCCCAGCTACTCAGGAGACCGAGGCAGGGGAATCGCTTGAATCCAGGAGGCAGAGATTGCAGTGAGCTGAGATGGTGCCACTGTACTCCAGCCTGGGCAACACAGCAAGACCCAGTGTCAAAAAAAAAAAAAAAGAAACACCAGTTGACAAAAACCAATGCTCATTCAACCAACTAGGAATAGAAGATAACTTCCTCAACCTGATAAAGGGCGTCTATGAAAAACCCATAGATGGCAGGATGCAGTGGCTCATGTCTGTAATCCCAGCATTTTGGGAGGCCAAGGCGGGAGGATCACTTGAGCCCAGGAGTTCAAGACCAGCCTGGGAAATATAGTGAGACCCTGTCTCTGCGAAAGAAATTTAAAAATTAGCTGAGTGTGGTGGCACATGCCTGTAGTCCCAATTACTTGGGAGGCTGAGGTAGGAGGATCCAATTGAGCCTGGGAGGCAGAGGTTGCAGTGAGTGTGTTCACACCACTGCACTCCAGCCTGAGCAACAGAGCAAGACCCTGTCTCAAAAACAAACAAGAAAAACCTATAGCTAATAGTGAAAAATTAAATGTTTTCTCCCTAGGATCAAGACAAGGATATCCACACTTTTTTTTTTTTTTGAGACAGAGTCTCACCCTTTGCCCAGGCTGGAGTTCAATGATGTGATCTTGGCTCACTGCAACCCTGGCTTCCAGGCTCAAGTGATTCTCCTGCCTCAGCCTCCCGAGTAGCTGGGATTACAGGCGCCCGCAACCACGCCCAGCTAATTTTTTGTATTTTTAGTGGAGACGGGGTTTAACCATGCTGGCCAGGCTGGTCTTGAACTCCTGACCTCAGCAGTTTGAGACCTGATCCACCTGCCTTGGCCTCCCAAAGTGCTGGGGTTACAGGCGTGAGCCACCGTTACCCGCCAGGATGTCCACTCTTGCCATTTCTATCCAACATAGAAATGGCATGTACCAGAGGTTCCAGCCATGGAAATTAGGCAAGAAAAAGAAAAGGCATTCAGGTTAGAAGGAAGAAGTAAAACTATCTATTTGTAGATGTTATACTGTGTATACAATATCCCAAGGAATTCACTAAAAAAATAGAATAAATGAGTTCAGCAAGGTACAAGAACAATATATAAAAATCAAATGTATTTCTATACATCAACAATGAATAATCCAAAAATGAACTAGAAAATAACTCCATTTATGTTACCATCAAAAAGAATAGAATACTTAGGAATAAATCAAATGAAAGTGAAAAACTTATACTCTGAAAACTATAAGACTTTATTGAAAGAAATTAAAGACCTAAATAAAGAAATCCAAACCAGAAGGCTTAATATTATTAAGATAGCAATATTTCCCAAATTACCTATAGATTCAATGAAATTCATATCAAAATACAAGCTGGCTTTTTATTTTTTGCAGAAATCAATAAGATGGGGCCTGGTAAGGTGGCTCACACCTGTAATCTCAGCACTTTGGGAGGCCAAGGCAGGTGGATCGCTTGAGTTCAGGAGTTTGAGACTAGCCTGGGCAACATGGCGAAACCCCGTCTCTACTAAAAATGCAAAAATTAGCCAGAATTTGGCCCCCCCAGCTAATTTTTTTGTATTTTTAGTAGAGATGGGGTTTCACCATGTTAGCCAGGATGGTCTCGATCTCCTGACCTCGTGATCTGCCCGCCTTGGCCTCCCAAAGTGCTGCAATTACAGGTGTGAGCCACCGCGCCTGGCCAACACTTCCCAATTTCATTTTAGCTGGTGTGTCTACAATCATTTTGGCATTTTTCCAAGTTGTGAATATGTTATCAAACATATATAAAATTTGTCTTCTGTCTACATTTGTCACTATTCTGTTTTGAATTCACTATTGCACATTATAGGAAGATGCTTTTCCCTCCAATAGTAAGCATGTAACATTTTTATGTAATTAAAAATTTTTGATGCCAGATGGCAGTGTTATATTACAGTCTCCTTAGGCAGCTTCTTCCCATGAAGATAGAGTATTTAGGACTGTGGGTTTAAATAAGAATATTCAATGCCTTTATTATGCTACAGGGAAAAACTATGGGGTCGCTAAGTATTTCATAATCTCTTGGCAGAACATTTTATAGAAACACATACTCTCTTGGCCGGGCGCGGCGGCTCACACCTGTAATCCCAGCACTTTGGGAGGACGAGACGGGCGGATCACGAGGTCAGGAGATCGAGACTATCCTGGCTAACATGGTGAAACCCCGCCTCTACTAAAAAATACAAAAAAATTAGCTGGGCGTAGTGGCGTGCACCTGTAGTCCCAACTACTCGGGAGGCTGAGGCAGGAGAATGGCGTGAACCTGGGAGGCGGAGCTTGCAGTGAGCCGAGATCGCGCCACTGCACTCCAGCCTGGGTGACTGAGCGAGACTCCGTCTCAAAAAAAAGAAAAAGAAAAAGAATCACATACTCTCCAGACTGAAAAAGGGCTAACGGGTCATTTATGCTAATCACCCGACTGATGCTTGATGTCACCTTCCTATTTGTTTCTCTATCCTAGTAACAGTTAAGCCACTTTACATTAAAGGCTCAGGAAGGAATTATAGATTGTGGTTCAGATGACTTAGGTTTTACTTCCAGTTCTATCAACTATTTCTAAGATGTGGGGCAAGCCACTTAAATCAATTGTATCTCTGTTCCCTTATCTTTAAAATGAGGGAGTTGTATAGATGACCTTGTTGGGGCTCAGAAAAGGATTCCCCAAAGTATGGCACTTTGGCATGCTGAGTACTTTGAACTAAAGGACATTGGAAGGCCTCAGAATCCACCTCAGAACCAAGGTCTCTGACCTTCTCCTGCCCTCCTATCTCTTACCCTTCATTCTCCGCAAGTGAGTCACAGAAACCAGGATTCCTCTTCCCCAAGGTGGGTCACAGAAACTAGAACCCTTTTCCCCAAAGGAAGACATAAAACCTACAAATATTACTCTAAACTTCCCCAGCCTTTCTGCCTAGGAGCTGGCCATAAAGAAATTCTCTGATGTACCCTTGTCAGATAGGAGATCATAAGGCCCTCATTCCAGAGTGGCCCCGCCCTATACCCTGGAAAAAGGAAGGTCACACAGAAAGGCCAAGAAGAATCTGAACAGGCCTTGCTGGGTTTCTCCACTCTTACTATTAGTTCATTCTCTTTTCCAGTCACATCTCTACATGGCTGTCCATGCTTCATAAGCATAAAAACAAGCAGTTTTCCCTGGGTGTTTGGCTCTTCATTTCTGAAGTCTCTTATAAATCTTTGACCAAATAAACCTGTTACGCCTTTCTCTTATTAACCTCCCTTTTCGTATAGGACTGTCAGCCTTGACCCTTATGATGGGTGAGGAAAGGTATACCTTTCTGCCTCCCAACCTCTAAGGAACTGTTGACCACCTCTGTAAAAATCTATGACAATATAGATGGAGAGCATTTTTTGAAAGATTCATGGCAGGAGCACTTGGAACACCAAGAAGAAGAAGAAACTATGGGAAATACAAACTTTTTTTTTTTTTTTATGTTGAGACAGAGTCTCACCCTGTCGCCTAGGCTGGAGTGCAATGGTGTCATCTCAGCTCACTGCAACCTCCGTCTCCTGGGTTCAAGTGACTCTCCTGCCTCAGTCTCCCGAGTAGCTGGGACTACAGGTGCCCACCACCACACCCGGCTAATTTTTGTATTTTTAGTAGAGATGGGGTTTCACCATATTGGCCAGGCTGGTCTCGAACTCCTGACCTTATGATCCGCCCACCTTGGCCTCCCAAAGTGCTGGGATTACAGGCGTGAGCCACCACCGTGCCCGGCCAAAGAATACAAACTTTTAACAAAGTATTTTTTTCAAATGTTCAAAGGAAATGTAATTTAGACATTTTTAGAGAACACACAGTGAAAAAAGTATGGCTGAACACATTTTTACAAATAATGATCAAAGTCCTAATGTTTCATTACAGTGATCTGGCAAAAATAAACATGTCATGTAGGATTAGTAATGAATGAATGAATAATGAGGAAACAGAATAATACAGGATTAAGACAAATATGAAATAAAAAAATGAGTTCTCCTTTAAGCAAGGAACCAGCTTTAATTAAAGGGAAACCCTGAAGCAAACCACTTGGGTCTTAAAATACTGTTTTGGCTGGGCATGGCAGCTCACGCCTGTAATCCCAGCACTTTGAGAGGCCAACGTGGGTGGATCTCTTGAGCCCAAGAGTTCGAGACAGTCTGACCAACATGGCGAAACCCCGTCTCTATTTATAAATAAATAAATAAATAAAAATTTAAAATACTGTTTTGGCTCTTTGTGGTAAATCCTGACATCTACATTATCCAGAATCTAAGTAAAGAACTTGCTGGCTGGGTGTGGTGGCTCACACCTGTAATCCCAGCACTTTGGGAGGCCGAGGCAGGTGGCTCACCTGAGGTCAGGAGTTCAAGACCAGCCTGGTCAACATGGTGAAACCCTATCTCTACTAAAAAAATACAAAAAAATTAGCCAGGCATGGTGGCACACACCTTTAATCCCAGCTATTCAGGAGGCTGAGGCAGGAGAATCGCTTGAACCTGGGAGGCGGAGGTTGCAGTAAACTGAGATGGTGCCACTGCACTCCAGCCTGGGCAACAGAGTGAGACTCCATTTCAAAAAAAAGAACTTGCCTTTAAATCAGGTTAAAACAAATCCTCAGATAAGATTAAAATTCAAGTCGACTAAATTGAAAGCGGCAGATTTCCTGTTGGATTCTCCTGCCTCTCAGGGTAAAACATAAGGACTCTCTAACTGCTTTATTGCCCTTCTAAAATCCTCCATGTCTTTGAATACTGTCAAACATGCTTAGATAACTATGAGAAACGGCAATGCATGTCTGCTGTAGGAGATTAGCAAAGGTATGTGAGGTGAACTTACTGATAATCATTGAAGACCTAATTGAATTAAAATGCTTTAGTAAGTTTTAGGACAGGCTTGGTGGCTCACACCTGTAATCTCAGTACTTTGGGAGGCTGAGGTGGGCAGATCACCTGAGGTCAGGAGTTCGAGACTAGGCTGGCCAAAATGGTGAAACCCTGTCTCTACTAAAAATACAAAAAATTAGCCGGGTGTGGTGGCACCCGCTTGTGATCCCAACTCAGGAGGCTGAGACAGGAGAATCGCTTGCACCCGGGAGGTGGAGGTTGCAGTGAACCAAGATCGCACCACTACACTCCAGGCGGCAACAAAGAGTGAAACTCCATCTCAAAAAAAAAAAAAAGATTTAGTAAGTTTAAAAATTATTTTCATGCTGTTGTAACATCTATAAAACTATAATTTTCTTTTCTTTTCTTTTCTTTTGAGATGGAGTTTTGCTCTTTGTTGCCCAGGCTGGAGTGTAGTGGTGTGATCTTGGCTCACTGCAACCTCCGCCTCCCGGGTTCAAGCAATTCTCCTGTCTCAGCCTCCCAAATACCTGGGATTATAGGCACCCGTCACCACGCCCGACTCATTTCTGTATTTTTAGTAGAGACGGGGTTTCACCATGTTGGCCAAGCTGGTCTCAAACTCCTGACCTCAGGTGATCCGCCTGCCTCGGCCCCCCCACAGGGCTGGGATTACAGGCGTGAGCCACCATACACAGCCAAAACCATAATTTTCATATTTCTAATAGCAGCTTAGTTTTTATCTCTTCTGCAGAAACCAACTCAGAGTACTTCTAACAGTTTCAAGTCCTAATTCATAATGTGAAGTTATGTTTTATTCTAACTAAGGTTAAGAAATTTTATAAATACTTAGAAACATAGTCGAGAAAATAGGTTAATTCAGGAGATCTGATGGGAAATTACAGTGAGCAGTGCTAATCTGGGAGTCAGGTTGCTTTGAGGGTAACAATATTATAATTGCACATGCATATGCAAGTATAGTAAATACTTTCTATATAATATAAATTTTATGGTCTTAAATACTCATATGTGAGCAACCATATGAATATATAAGAGGAATCATGTTATATAAGGTGTCACGAAAGAAGAAAGGCCTTCCATGTATCAAACAAAAAACCCCCACAAACACAACCAGCATTTATCTTCCTTGGAAAAAGAAGAAATTAAAAATCAAATATAAGGTGAACATGTTAGCCCACTTTACTTCCATTCAATGATGTTAGCAAAAATATATCATTATAGAAGATTTAGGGGTACTGATGGTTAAGTGGGAAGAGTAGAAGTGATCTGGGTAGTTAAAATTTCTTCAGCTTTTTTCTCTTTAGTTTATTAATAAAAGCCATTTTATATGAACTATTTAAAAAATTTATTTTTTTTGATGTGATGACTCAAGGTAGAATATATTGTATGAACTCTTGCATTATTATTTTTATTTATTTTTTTTGAGACGAAGTTTCGCTCTTGTTGCTCAGGCTGGAGTATAGTGGCATGACCTTGGCTCACTGCAACCTCTGCCTCCTGCGTTCAAGCAATTCTCCTGCCTTAGCCTCCTGAGTAGCTGGAATTACAGGCATACATCATCATGCCTGGCTAATTTTTGTATTTTTAGTAGAGACAGGGTTTCACCATGTTGGTCAGGCTGGTCTCATAGTCCTGACCTCAGGTGATCCACCTGCCTCGGCCTCCCAAAGTTCTGGGATTACAGGCGTGAGCCACCATGCCCGGCCTCTTGCATTATTATTAATATTAGATCTCTCAATGTTATGATAATTGGCCATTATGCACAAGGCAAAGTCGAGATCCATAAGAGTTAAGTGATTTATTCGATGTTCTGGAGAGATGGCGTGGATGGGATCAGCGTTCGTTTTACTGTATCTTAAGATTTTAGTTTTAGTCTTAGCACTATTATTATTTTATTAGACAGCAAGTCTCAGTTAATGTTGTGCAGGCTGATTTCAAACCCCTGGGGCCTCAAGCGATCCTCCCACCTCAGCCTCCCGAGTAGCTGGGACTATAGGTGTGCACCACCATGCCCAGCTAATTAAAACAATTTTTTATAGAAGCAGGGTTTCTCTATGTTGCCCAGGCTGGTGTCAAACTCCTGCATTCAAGCGATCCACCCACCTTGGCCTCCCAAAGTGCTGGGATTACAGGCATGAGCCACCGCACCCTGACACAAATAACATTTCAATATCTCACTTTCCTATTCTGTGAAATCAGGGATCAGAAAAATAACATTTTAAAATGTGATGGAGTTGGCTAGGGTAATCAAAAAAGTGTTCTGTGCTAGAAATTTGGAAATGCTTGGACAAACGAAGTTAAACAGTTTCTTAGCTATAGTATTTCTCAGAGCCTTTGACAAATTAACATTCATAATAGTGGCATGTTGCCCTTCACAAACTTTTTGGACATATAAACACTTTTTGTTTTATGTTATGGCACACCATGTAACTGCAGTGAATCTGAAGGATTTCAGGGCAGAACAAAGAAAAAGATGTGACCACAAGGTGGCAGTGGGACACAACAAGCTCTCTTTGGACAGCGCTTTGACAGGTTTGTATGCCGGGAAGTCCCTCACAGCATGAGACCTTCCAAAGGCAGCGACAGTGTAGGGCGGCCACTACTCAGAAGGGGGAGGGTAAGAGAATTCCTGGAGGACTAGAGAGAGGGTGTATGTGTCATGACGTTGTTTAGCAGCAAGATCGGCGGGGCGGGTGGGGGGGTGTCTCTGGGTTACAGAGCTCCAAAGGGCAGCAGTGATTTGGGGTCTTTTATAGCCTGGGGTTTTTATCTATGGATAGTAGACGTTGAGTGTAGTTTGCAGGGTATGTAAAGCAGGTGGGCTCTAGATAGATGGCTAATAATTTGGTTATTTAGGCTATACTTAAACAATTGGATGTGTAAACATTTGATTTGGTGATGATGGGCTTTTGAGCTAACAGTCCTGGTTGCTGTGAAGAAGTAAACAACACAGGGCCCCAAAGGTCATTTTTAGATCATGTAACGGTAACACCTAGTCCAGCATTTACCAACTGTGATCTTCCAGATCAAAAATATTTTTATTCCAAATATTTTGAACTCCTGCCATTTCAATGTCTACTTCCACTACTTCTGGCAGCCACACAAAAATATAAGAAGTGATTTGAAAGGGGTATGCTATTCTTTTTTTTTTTTTTTTTGAGACAGTGTCTCACCTTGTCACTCAGGCTGGAGTGCAGTGGCACAATCTTGGCTAATTGCAACCTCTGCCCCCCAGGCTCAAGTGATCCTCATGCGTCAGCCATCAGAGTAGCTGGGATTACAGGCGTGCGCCACCATGCCCAGCTAATTTTTGTATTTTTAGTAGAGAGGGGGTTTCACCATATTGGCCAGGCTGGTCTCAAACTCCTAATCTCAAGTGATCTGCCTGCCTTGGCCTCCCAAAGTGCAGGACTACAGGCGTGAGCTACCACACCTGGCCAGAAAATGATATGCTATTCTTGCTGCAAATGTTGAAGTTGACTGATAATTTTTCTTTACCATAAAGCAGTGGTTCCCAAAGTGTAGTCTGCATATTCTGTAGTCTGAGACCCTTTCAGGGTTGTGAACTGAACTAGTTACTTTTCTCATGGAACACCATTTTTACTTTTTAAAAGAATGATTGATATGGTTTGACTGTGTCGCCACCCAAATCTCATCTTGAATTGTAGCTCCCACAATTCCCATGTGTCGTGAGAGGGACCCGGTGGGAGGTAATTGAATCATGGGGGCAAGTCTTTCCTGTGCTGTTCTTATGATAGTAAATAAGTCTCATGAGATCTGATGGTTTTAAAAGGGGAAACCCCTTCTCTTGGCTCTCATTCTCTCTTGCCTGCCACCCTGTAAGACGTGCCTTTCGCCTTCAGCCATGATTGTGAGGCTTCCCCAGCCACGTGGAACTGTGAGTCCATTAAACCTCTTTTTCTTTATAAGTTACCCAGTCTTGGGTATGTCTGTATCAGCAGTGTGAAAACGGACTAATACAATGACTACAGTGTAAGGTTATTCTTATTTGAGTACTTGGCAGACTATTTCATGAAAATAGAAGAAATGAGGCTGTCATTTCAAAGAAAACAAATGACAGAATTTGTTGTCAGTGATAAAGCTTTAGCTTTCAAGTGAATTTTGGAAGCCTCGTAGCTGCCACTGTGATCTTGAAAGCTATCCAGGACCTTTCTAATGACATCAGTTATTATGTTAACAACTGATTTTTGTTTTGGATAATAAAATGTGTCAATATTTAAAAGATCTATATAACTCAGAGAACCAATATTTTCCGAACTGCCAATGCATGATGTTACAAAATCATGCATTGGTAAAGATCAACTCAAAATTCAAGACAGACTAGTGCATCATAACACAAATGTATGAAAAGTGCATCATAACAAAATGTACGCAAAGTTCATTGATATGTTTTCAAGTTCCACATTGCAACAACCCATAAGAAATTACCACTTGCTGAGTTTTGGGGTATCAAAGAAGAGTATCCACAATGATCTGAAAAGTGATGATCTGAATGAAAATATATCTCTTTTCTAGGTAATAGATTTACGATTTTTAAAAAATGAATGTCTATTAAAATTTATCTGTTTTAATAGAAATTTTAATTTAACAAATATACATAAACAAAAACTCTTTGGGGATCCTCAGTGATTTTTTTTTTTTTTTTGAGATGGAGTCTCACTCTATTGCCCAGGCTGGAGTGCCGTTGTGCGATCTTGGCTCACTGCAAGCTCGGCCTCCCAAGTTCATGCCATTCTCCTGCCTCAGCCTCCTGAATAGCTGGGACTACAGGCGCCCGCCACCATGCCCGGCTAATTTTTTTGTATTTTTAGTACGGACAGGGTTTCACCGTGTTAGCCAGGATGATCTCGATCTCCTGACCTTGTGATCCACCTGCCTTGGCCTCGCAAAGTGCTGGGATTACCGGCGTGAGCCACCGCGCCCGGCCTGGGATCCTCAATAATTTTTAAGAATGTAAATGGGTCCTGGGGTCTATTTGAAAAATACTACCAGAAAGTATTATTTCAATTACTGAAACCTACAAATGGTTAAGTGTTTTCTCATCACCAACATAAAAATACGAAGGTAAAACCAATAGAATTGCTCTGAAACATACGGGGAATACAAAATCTAAGATGCTTCTTAAGTGAGTTACATTTATATCACATATCTTTTAGATTTTTATAAATTTTGTTTTCCATAATTATTATTTTTTTTTTTTTGAGATAGAGTCCTGCCCACTCTTGCCCAGGCTGGAGTGCAGTGCGGAGATCTTGGCTCACTGTAACCTCTGCCTTCCAGGTTCAAGCTATTCTCCTGCCTCAGCCTCCCAAGTAGCTGGGATTACAGGCACCCAGCCCCACACTCAACTAATTTTTGTATTTTTAGTAGACACAGGGTTTCACCATGTTGGCCAGGTTGGTCTTGAACTCCTGACCTCAAGTGGTCTGCCCACCTCAGCCTCCCAAAGTGTTGGGATTACAGGCGTGAGCCACTTCGCCTGGCCTATAATGGTATTTTAATTTGTATGTTGAACAAAGATGGCTCTTAAGGTTCAACATTAACAGCAATTCTACTTTTGTCTCCCTTGGTCCCTCCAAAGCTGTCCATTGAAGGATCATTCTTCCCACACTCTTAAATGAAAATTTAGTTAATACCATGACTTTCACATTTTTTCCACTATAGAACGCTCAAACAGCTGGGCGTGGTAGCTCACGCTTGTAATCCCAGAACTTTGGGAGGCCAAGGCGGGCAGATCACCTGAGGTCAGGAGTTCGACAACAGCCTGGCCAACATGGTGAAACACCATTTCTACTAAAAATACAAAAATTAGCCAGACCTGGTGGCGGGCGTCTGTAATCCCAGCTACTTGGGAGGCTGAGGCAGGAGAATCACTTGAACCTGGGAGGCGGAGGTTGCAGTGAGTCAAGATTGCACCACTGCACTCCAGCCTGGGCGACAGAGCAAGACTCATTATCAAAAAAAAAAGAAAGAAAGAAAGAAAAAAGGAATGCTCAACCGCATTTGTTATTATTTTTTTTTTTTTGGAAACGGAGTTTCACTCTTGTTGCCCAAGCTGGAGTGCAATGACGTGATCTCAGCTCATTGCAATCATTTAGTGTGATTAAGCTCATTGCACTCATTAATCATTTAGTGTCATTAAGCTTTCCTGGTGTCTGAAATCACATCAACTAGGCATTTATCTTAAATCCATGATCTGTTAACATATCTTTGGTTACTAGTGATCTCCATAATGACATAATTTATCTCAAAAGACTCCTTGGTTTGAAAATCTGATTAACCACTCCAGTATATTTTCCAGACTTGAAAACTGGTATTTAGGCCAGGCATGGTGATTCATGCCTGTAATCCCAGCACTTTGGGAGACTGAGCCAGGTGGATCACCTGAGGTCAGGAGTTCAAGACCAGCCTGGCCAACATGGTGAAACCCTGTCTCTACTAAAATACAAAAATTAGCTGGGTAGGGTGGTGCAAGCCTGTAATCCCAGCTACTTGGGAGGCTGAGGCAGGAGAAGCACTTGAACCCAGGAGGTGGAGGTTGCAGTGAGCCAAGATCATGCCTCTGCACTCCAGCCTGGGTGACAGAGTGAGATTCTGCCTCAAAAAAAGAAAAAAGAAAATTGGTATTTATTGCTTCTCTCTACAGATGCTTCTCAATTTATGATGGGGTTACACCCTGACAAACTCATAAGTCGAAAATACACAAAGTCGAAAATGTGTTCAATATACCTAACTTACTGAACAACATAGCTTAGCCTAGCCTACATGCTCAGAACACTTAAATTAGCCTACAGATGGGCAAAATTTTCCGACACAAAGCCTATTTTTTAATAAAGTGTTGACTGTCTCATGTAATCTATTGAATATTATACTGAAAGTGAAAAAAATGCTTGCACAGGTTCTTGAAGTATGGCTTCTACTGAATGCATATGGCTTTTGCACCATTGTAAAGTCGAAAAACTGTAAATTGATCATTTTAAGTCAGGGATCATCTGTGTGCTGACAGCCACCACGTCCAACCAATTAATTTTTAATAGTTTAAAAATAATCCACATGATATAAAATTCAAAAGATACAAAAGGGTATACAATGACATTTTTTTTCCTACTCTTGTTCCTTCACAACTTTCTGTGCAGCTAACCCCAGTTAACAGTTTCTTTTTTTCTTTTTTCTTTTTCTTTTTTTGACACAGGGTCTCACTCTGTTACCCAGACTGGGGTGCAGTGGGGTGATCATGGCTCACTGCAGCTTCGACCTCCCAGGCTTAAGTGATCCACCCACCTTAGCCTCCCACAGTGCTGGGATTACAGGCATAAACCACTGCACCCGGCCACCAGTGTCCTTACTGGCTCTAGTTTCTTAAGAAATGTCTTTGCATAAAGATCTAATCTTCACTACAGATGTCACTGATACCCAGATACAATCTATGGTTACAGCCTTGGTTAAGGCTGGCAACCTAAAAATAAAAAAGAGAAGTTGTCAAAGGGACTTCCTAAAAATAAAAGAGAAGTTGTCAAAGGGACTTCCAGGATAATAGCTTAACCTACAGAATAATTGTTTAGACTGGCTGGGCATGGTGGCTCACGCCTGTGATCCCAGCACTTTGGGAGGCTGGGGTGG
This sequence comes from Homo sapiens, assembly GCF_000001405.40. Classification (NCBI taxonomy): domain Eukaryota; kingdom Metazoa; phylum Chordata; class Mammalia; order Primates; family Hominidae; genus Homo; species Homo sapiens. The sequence continues at coordinate 31,687,464 of NC_000012.12, forward strand.
GTGGATCATGAGGTCAGGAGCCTGGCCTGACCAGTATGGTGATACCCCGTCTCTACTAAAAATACAAAAATTAGTTGGATGTGGTGGCATGCGCCTGTAGTCCCAGCTACTTGGGAGGCTGAGGCAGGAGAATCACTTGAACCTGGAAGGCAGAGGTTGCAGTGAGCCAAGATTGCACCACTGCACTCCAGCCTCGGCGGGTGACAGAGCGAGATTCTGTCTCAAAAAAAAAAAAAAGAATAATTGGAATAATTATTTAGACTGTAATAAGAAAAATGAGCTGGAAGGACTGGGCATAACTACTGATTTACAAGTTAGATCCAGTTTATATTACGGTGTGGACCTATTATAGGGGTAATATGAAAGGGTGCCATGGTTTCTAGGGTAGGAGGATATATACCATGGCTCTTATACAGGCAAAATGGGCTACTGCTGTTTTGTTCTCCTCCAGTGAAGAGCCACATTAGCCTAAGAGTCCAAATTTTTCTGACTTTTTGTTTGTTTGTTTGAGACGGAGTTTCGCTCTTGTTGCCCAGGCTGGAATGCAATGGCGTGATCTCAGCTCACTGCAACCTCCACCTCCCGAGTTCAAGTGATTCTCCGTCCTCAATCTCCCGAGTAGCTGGGATTACAGGTGCGCACCACCACACCTGGCTAATTTTGTAATTTTAGTAGAGATGGGGTATCTTCATGTTGGTCAGGCTGGTCTCGAACTCCCAACCTCAGGTGATCCACCCGCCTTGGCCTCCCAAAGTAATGGGATTATAGGCATGAGCCACCACGCCCGGCTATTCTGATCCTAATGTCTACAGTTTGATAATAGTTAACAAGTCATTTAGTGTATTTGATAGATGTAATATTATAAACTTGAAATTTTCTTATTGTTTACATAAAGCATCATGTTCAATATCATGAACACAACTACTGCTGCCATCATAATCTTCTTCATAGGTAACATTTATTGAGCACTGGCCACCATTACCACCTTCATTTATCGTTATCATGACTAACATTTATTGAGCTCTTACTATGTGCAAGGCCACCACATAAGGAATTGTCAGAGGCCGGGCGCGGCAGCTAACGTCTGTAATCCTAGCACTTTGGGAGGCCAAGGCAGGCGGATTGCCTGAGCTCAGGAGTTAGAGACCAGCCTGGGCAACACGGGGAAATCCCGTCTCTGCTAAAAATACAAAAAAAATTAGCCTGGCATGGTGGCGTGCACCTGTAGTCCCAGCTACTCAGGAGGCTGAGGCAGGAGAATTGCTTTAACCCAGGAGGTGGAGGTTGCAGTGAGCTGAGATTGCACCATTGCACTCCAGCTTGGGTGACAGAGCAAGACTCCGTCTCCCAAAAAATTAAAATAAAATAAAATAAAATAAAGAATTGTCAGATAATCATGACTAAGTCTATGAGGTAGGTACTCTCATTATGCCTGTTTTACAGATGAGGAAACTGAATAATGAAATGGGTTAAGTAATGTACTCAAGGTCACACAGTAAAAGATGAAGCCAGAATTTGAACCCAAGCAATCTATTGCACTAACCTGTTATCAAGGGGCATCCATGGAAGAGTAATATACGTATTTGAGGACAGTAAGTAAGGACAGCTTCGACAGCCCCATCAGTCAGATTTACACAATGTCCCATATGAATCTCCTATGCAAAAATAAAGAAAATAAAGTCAAATGAAAACAAAGATCTATAATAACAGTATGAACAATTTTGAGAAACATTCTGATACAAAAAGAACCAGATATCTACTTGCAAAAAAAAAGTATATAGAAAAGACCAATATAAGTCTGAAGTAATTTGGAAGGAGCAGCTTAAAAAGTTAAATGCCCAACCATTTTATAAAGTAATGTGTAATAGCTATTAAAGCTGAAGATGAGTATGCCCCAGAACTCAGCAATTCCAATTGTTGATCTACAGAGAATCTCTTCTACATGTGCACAAGGAAACAATTTATAAATATGCCCTTTGCAGTATTACTTGTAATAGTAAAAAAAGTGGAGAACGGGAAAATCAATGCTTTATAGAAAACAGCTAAAATGAAAAATATCTACTTGTATTAATAGACATAAATCTCAAACATGTTAGTTCAGACCCTTTGGCAAACAGTATGGTAGTATCTTATAAAGCTAAACATGTATTTGCTATATGACCCAGCAATTTCACTCGTAGGCATTTACCCAAGAAAAATAAAAACATATGTCTACACAGAGGTTTGTATGCAAATGTCTGCAGCAGTCCAAAATTGGAACCCAAATGTCCATCAAATGATAAAATTATTTTTAAATTTTTTAAAAATTTCCATAGATTTTTGGGGAACAGGTGGTATTTGGTTACATAAGTAAGTTCTTTAGTGGTCATTTGTGAGATTTTGGTGCAACCATCAACCAAGCAGTATACACTGAACCCGATTTTTAGTCTTTTACCCCTCACCTCCTTCCCACCCTTTCCCCCTGAGTCCCCAAAGTCCATTATGTCATTCTTATGCATTTGCATCCTCATAATTTAGCTCCTACTTATGAGTGAGAACGTATGATGTTTGCCTTTCCATTCCTGAGTTACTTCACTTAGAAGAATAATCTCCAATCCCATCCAGGTTGCTGTGAATGCCATTAATTCATTCCTTTTTATGGCTGAGTAGTATTCCATTGTATACATATACCACAGTTTCTGTATCCACTCGTTGATTGATGGGCATTTGCATTGGTTCCACATTTTTGCAATTGCAAATTGTGCTGCTATAAACATGTGTGTACAAGTATCTTTTTCGTATAATGACTTTTTTCTCTGGGTAGACACCCAGTAGTGGGATTGCTGGATCAAATGGTACTTCTACTTTTAGTTATTTAAAGAATTTCCACACTGTTTTCAATAGTGGTTGTACTAGTTTACATTCCCACCAGCAGTGTAGAAGTGTTCCCTGTTCACCACATCCACACCAACATCTATTATTTTTTTATTTTTTTTATTATGGCCATTCTTGCAGGAGTCAGGTGGTATCGCATTGTGGTTTTGCTTTGCATTTCCGTAATCACAAATGATGTTGAGCATTTTTTCATGTTTGTTGGCCATTTGTATATCTTCTTTTGAGAATTGTCTATTCATGTCCTTAGCCCACTGTTTGATGGGACTGTTTGCTTTTTTCTTGCTAATTTGTTTGAGTTTGTTCTAGATTCTGGATATTAGTCCTTTGTCAGATGTATAGATTGTGAAGATTTTCTCCCATTCTGTGGGTTATCTGTTTACTCTGCTGACTATTCCTTTTGCTGTGCAAAAGCTGTTTACATTTAATTCCCAGCTATTTATCTTTGCATCAAATGGTAAAATTATAAATAAATTATGGCATATCCATACTATGGAACACTACTTAGCAATAAAAAGGGGCTGAGTGTGGTGGCTCATGCCTGTAATCCCAGCACTTTGGGAGGCCAGGGTGGGTGGATCATGAGGTCAGGAGACCGAGACCATCCTGGCTAACATGGTGAAACCCCCCGTCTCTACTAAAAATACAAAAAAATTAGCTGGGCATGGTGGAACATGCCTGTAGTCCCCACTACTTGGGAGGCTGAGGCAGGAGAATCACTTGAACCTGGGAGATGGAGGTTGCAGTGAGCCGAGATCATGCCACTGCACTCCAGCCTGGGTGATAGAGCAAGACTCCGTCTCAAAAAAAAAAAAAAAGGAATGAAATATTAACATATGCAATAACATGGATCAATCTCACAAACACTATGCTAAGTGAAGGAAGTAAAATAAAGAAATAAAAACCAAAATAGTATATTATATTCTGCAGAATTCCATTATATAAAATTATATGTATATAAAATTGAATTTATATACAATTATAGAAAAGCCAAAACAATGACAAAGTAAATCAGTGGTTGCCTAAGAGAGGGTCACAGAAGGGGATCAACTACAAAGGACCAGAGACAAAAAAACAAAATAAAACCACAGAGAACACAGACAACTTTTTAGGGTGATGAAAATGTTCTATACATCAATTGTGGTGGTGGTTATATGGCTGTATAACAATTACCAAAATTTATCCAACTATGCACATAATATGAGTGAATTTTCTTGTATGTAAATTATACCTCAATTATACCTGAAAAATTTCAGAAAACATAATTTTGAATAACAAATTGTAAAGGGACATATATTATGAAGCTATTATGTAAAATTTGAAAGCATATAAAACAAGGCTATATCTTATTTATAGATTTGTACATAATAGAAAAAGTATCCATTTCTGTCTGAGCAGGGTCCACAGGAAGAAAAAAAAGAAAAGGTATCCAAACATGCAAGGAGAGATACATAATCATATTTAGGATAGTGGTTACTTCTGAAGGCAGAAAGGGAGAATAATTGAGCGGGGCTTTAGATGTAACATTATTTTATTTTATTTTACTTTATTTATTTTTTTGAGACAGAGTTTCATTCTTGTTGCCCAGGCTGGAGTGCAATGGAGCAGTCTTGGCTCATTGCAACCTCTGCCTCCAGGGCTCAAGTGATTTTTCTGCCTCAGCCTCCCAAGTAGCTGGGATTACAGGCATGTGCAAATATGCCTGGCTAATTTTTGTATTTTTAGTAGAGACAGGGTTTCACCATGTTGGTCAGGCTGGCCTCAAACTCTGACCTCAAGTGATCCACCCGCCTCAGCCTCTCAAAGTGTTGGGATTACAGGTGTGAGCCACTGCACCCAGCTGTAACATTATTTTAGAAAAAGAACAAATCCAGCACTTTGGGAGGCCAAGGCGGGCAGATCACCTGAGGTCAGGAGTTCGAGACCAGCCTGGCCAACATAGTGAAACCCTGTCTCTACTAAAAATACAAAAATTAGCTGGGCGTGGTGGTGTGCACCTGTAGTCCCAGCTACTTGGGAAGCTGAGGCAGAAGAATCGCTTGAACCCGGGAGGTGGAGGTTGCAGTGAGCCGAGATCACTGCATACCAGCCTGAGTGACAAAGTGAGACTCTGTCTCAAAAAAAAAAAACAAACGAAAAAAAACATATTAAATTAAGGCATTAAAAAAAAGAAAATATTTCTGGCAGATTAGGGTCTTACTGAAATTGCATACTCATAGCATAACTTTTATGGAAAACAATTTAGGACTGTTAAAAAAATATTCATACCTATTAATCCATTTGTTCCATTTTTGGGAATTCATTATAGCAACGGAAGGAAAAGTGACTGTCCCAATATATAATTATTTCTAATAGCTAAAAACCAGAAACAATCTGAATTACCAACAATAAAAAACAAGTATGTTACATTATACGGACAGTCTGTTCTCTGATATGCCAGGATCTAGAACAGTAAATGCTTAATAAATATTTATTAATAAATGAAATTTTATACAGCAAATTAAATTTTAATTATAAGGATTAAAGAAACTTATGAAATGACTGTAATATAAGGCTAAGAATGTGATAACATTTATTGAGGTACTACCACATATCTAGAATTGTATTAAAAGCTGAGGATAAAATGAACAAAATGATGAACACAATGATCAACAGAGATTTCAGAAACGATCATGATATTTGCTAAATGCTGTAACATAAGTTTGTACTAAGTGCTTGTTGATCTTTTTTTCTTTAATTTTATAATTTTTTTGAGACACGGTCTCACTCTGTTCCCCAAGCTGGAGTGCAGTAGTGCAAACACAGTTCACCGTAGCTTCAACCTCCCAAGTTGAAGGAGATCAATTGATCTCCCCACTCCAGACTCCTGAGCAGCTGGGAGTACAGGCATGCACCACCACCTCTGGTTAATTTTTTTTTTGAGATGGAGTTTCGCTCTTGTTGCCCAGGCTGGAGTGCAATTGCGTGATCTTAGCTCACTGCATCCTCCACCTCCCAGGTTCAAGCCTCAGCCTCCTGAGTAGCTGGGATTACAGGCATGCACCACCATGCCCAGCTAATTTTGTATTTTTAGTAGAGATGAGGTTTCTCCATGTTGGTCAGGCTCGTCTCTGAACTCCCAGCTTCATGTGATCCACCTGCCTCGGCCTCCCAAAGTGCTGGGATTACAGGCGTAAGCCACCATGTCCAGCCAATGTTTGTATTTTTCTTTTTTCTTTTTTTTTTTAGATGGAGTTTTGCTCTTGTTGCCCAGGGTGGAGTGCAATGGTGTGATCTCAGCTCACCACAACCTCTGCCTCTTGGGTTCAAGCAATTCTCCTGCCTCAGCCTCCTAAGTAGTTGGGATTACAGGCATGCGCCACCACACCCAGCTAATTTTGTATTTTTAGTAGAGACGGGGTTTCTCCATGTTGGTCAGGCTGGTCTCAAACTCCCAACCTCAGGTGATCTGCCCACCTCAGCCTCCCAAAGTGCTGGGATTACAGGTGTGAGCCACCGCACCCAGCCTGTATTTTTCATAGAGACAAGGTTTCACTGTGTTGCCCAGGATGTTCTTGAAATCCTGAGCTCAAGGGATCCACTTGCTTTAGCCTCCCAAAGTGCTGAAATTACAGAAGTGAGCCACCACATTCAGCCTCTTGTCAATCTTTAGGAAAGGTCCTTAGACCTTTAATCAAATTGATTTCCAAATTATAAATAATTTAGCAACATTAATAATTTAATTTCCCAGAATGGAACAAATTAAAAGCAACAGATTAAAATGTGATGAAAGGTAGGCCTCCGCATTACCTATGAGAGTAGTTAGTAAAAAAAAAAAAAAATTAGGGCTGGGTGCGGTGGCTCACACCTGTAATCCCAGCACTTTGGGGGGCCAAGGAGGGTGGATCACCTGAAATCAGGTGTTTGAGACCAGCCTGGCCAACATGGTGAAACCCTGGCTCTACTAAAAATACAAAAATTAGCTGGGCATGGTGGCAGCTGCCTATAATCCCAGCTACTTGGGAGGCTGAGGCAGAAGAATTGCTTGTACCTGGGAGACGGAGGTTGCAGTGAGCTGAGATCACACTATTGCACTCCAGCCTGGGCCACAAGAGCGAAACTCTGTCTCAAAAAAAAAAAAAAAAAAATTAAGGCCAGACATGGTGGCTTATACCTGTAATTCCAGCACTTTGGGAAGCCAAGGCAGGAGAACTGCTTGAGTCCAGGAGTTCAAGATCATCCTGGGCAACATGGCAAGACCCATCTCTACAAAAAATAAAAAAGTAGCCAGGAGTGGGGGCACATACCTGTAGCCCCAGCTATTTAGGAAGCTGAGGTGGGAGGATTGCTTGAGCCAGGGCAGTCAAGGCTGCTGTAAGCCATGATTGTGCCACTGTACTCCACCCTGGGTGACAGAACAAGACCCTGTCTCAAAAAACAAAATTTAAGTTTGTCCTTCAGTTTGAGTCAGAGGATGCTATAAACCAAAGGTTAAAGTATATTCACTCAGGCCAAGCATGTGGCTCACACCTATAGTTCTAGCACTTTAGGAAGTCAAGACAGGAGGATCACTGAGGCCAGGAGTTTGAGACCAGCCTGGGCAACATAAAAAGACCCTGTCTCTACAAAACAAAACAAAACAAAACAATTTTTTTAAAAAGTATATTCACCCTACTTTGTTTAAGTAAGGCATTAAGTTCTAATAAATTTTAGAGACATTTCCATTAAAATGTTTTGGCACTTTGGAATAATCTTTGGAAAACTGAAAAAATAAAAAATGTAATGATATGGCACTATAATCACCAACACACTGGTTATTGCATTTTTTTCTCATTCTACTTAGGTTGGTGCTCTTAATTTTATAATGTTGAGGTAAATAGGTCAGTATATTTACTATCATGCATAACAACTAATTTCTTGGTGGTTTTATTTGAAGGTGATAAACTAATTTAACTGAGAACTTTATTTAAAATTATAGTAATTACAAGATAATGTTGTAAGCATTACATAACCTAGTGAATATAAGGCAGTTAGTATACAGCCTGGCATAACAGTAAGTGCTCGACAAATGTTTGCACTTAAAATACCAAAAATTACTGTTCCTGCATTTAGGATGCAATTTGGAATTCAAAACTTGGTATAATAATAAATATAGTAATTTCTTTCTTTCTTTCTTTTTTTTTTTTTTGAGATGGAGTTTCGCTCTTGTTGCCCAGGCTGGAATGCAATAGCGCAGTCTCGGCTCACTGCAACCTCCCACCTCCCAGGTTCAAGTGATTCTCCTATCTCAGGCTCCCAAGTAGCTGGGATTACAGGTACCTGCCACCATGCCCAGCTAATTTTTTGTATTTTTAGTAGAGATGGGGTTTCTCCATGTTGGCCAGGCTGGTCTTGAACTCCTGGCCTCAGGTGATCCACCTGTCTCGGCCTCCCAAAGTGCTGGGATTATAGGCGTGAGCCACCATGCCCAACCTAATATGGTAATTTCTTAATAAAATATTTAAAAAATATATATGCTACCAAGACCCAGATATATAAAATCACAAAAAAGAATCTCTTTGGGCAATAACTCAAGGATAAATATTTTGGCAAAAACGTGGCATTGTCATTCCATTACAATAGTTGGCTTTTTAAAAAATGTATTTATGGCAGGGCACGGTGGCTCACACCTGCAATCCCAGCACTTTGGGAGGTCGAGGGGGGCGGATCACCTGAGGTCAGAAGTCTGAGACCAGCCTAGCCAACATGGCAAAACCCTGTCTCTAATATAAAAATTAGCTGGATGTGGTGGCACATGCCTGCAGTCCCAGCTACTCAGGAGACTGAGGCTGGAGAATCGCTTGAACTTGGGACATGGAAGTTGCAGTGAGCTGAGATCACACCACTGCACTCCAGCCTGGGCGACAGAGCAAGACTCCGTCTCAAAATAAATAAATAAATTAATTAATTAAAATTAAAATAAAAAAGTATTTATTTATTTAAGATATAAGTTCTCACTATGTTGCCAGGCTGGACTCCAACTCTTGGGTTCAAGGGATCCTCCTGCCTCAGCCTCCCTGAGTAGCTGGGACTACAGGAATGCACCACTGTGCCCTATTAAAATAGTTATTTTTACTAACATTTTTATAATTAATTTACAGCCTGCCTACTTCCAAAAAGGATTTGATGTAGCTTACTGTTAAATAGCATAGTTATATTAAACCACTTGTCAACTGGGGAAGACAGAAACCAAAATCCTGGGATAAAAGGCTTCTTAATATATTTAGAAATAGGTTACAAGTGCATTAGTGATTCAATTCAAAGGATGAACACAAATTTAAGATCTTTTTTAGGCCGGGTGCAGTGGCTCACTCCTGTAATCCCAGTACTATGAGAGGCCGAGGCGGTCGGATCACCTGAGGTCGGGAGTTCGAGACCAGCCTGGCCAACACGGTGAAACCCCGTCTCTACTAAAAATACAAAAATTAGTCGGTGGCACACATCTGTAATCCTAGCTGCTTGGGAGGCTGAGGCACGAGAAGTGCTTGAACCTGGGAGGTGGAGGTTCCAGTGAGCCGAGATTATGCCACTGCACTCCAGCCTGGGCAACAGTGGGAGACTCCGTCTCAAAAAAAAAAAAAAACTTTTTTAAATGATCGTACAATGTGGCTATCAAGAAAAATAGGATGACAGGATGTCAAGAGAATTAATACTCCTGGTAGAAATATCATTAAGACCTGAAATCCTATTATAAATAATATCACTTTACACTGATAAACATTCATAATCTTCATCCATAATAAGATGATTCTTAAATCTGTTAGAAGCTAAAACTTCGGGGAAATAAGGCCTTTTATTGGAAGTAAAATGAGTTTTTATTTTAAAGCACCTTTATTTTATATCCTAACAATTTTTATTTACTCTGGCAATAAAGAGATAGAACACCCACCAACAAAGTCCCTAAAATACGTAATTGATAAAGCATTGGTTATCCGCTAGGTTTTAAACATAATTTCTAAGAATATAAAAATTTAATCACCACCATCTTTATAATTGTTTTAAAATTACCTCTAATTTCTTCGCACAAGGTCCACTAACAAGTGCAATCACACCACTGTCAGATACCTAAGCAAAGGGAAAAAGAAACACAGTCCATGAATCCAGACAACGGAAGTAGAATTTTCCAAAATGTATTCATTATTTAGATATAGTCTTAATGCCTCCCATTCATCAAACATGTGTTTTAGCCATATATACCTTTCACCCTTGCTACTTAATTGAGAGGAATATGCCAATATATATCTCAATTACTTAACCACAAAAAGCATGAAGTGGTCAATAGTTTCAACAAAAACAAAATGAACTCCTTATGATATGTTCTCATTAGTCATGAAAATACATTTGGTAAACACATAGTCTATATGTTTGTAGCCTATATGTCATTTACCTGAGTAGCTGAAAAGTCGACACACTGCAAAAATGGGCAGTTTTTTCCTAATGCATGTAAGGACACATCAGTAATACTTAAGCAGCCACCTAAATCGATGATCTTTAGCAGCTGGCAATTGAGTGCAAGAGCAACGACTCCTTCGTCAGTGAGATTGCAGCATCTTTTCAAAGAAGCTTCGTGTAGGTATGAACAAGATGAAGCCACAGCTTTTATTCCTGGGGGAAAATATAATTATATATCAATGAGCTATATGTGTGTATATGTATACATGAGAAATGTGACTGATTTTCATTTTAGCAATCACCAGTTCAGTGTTAGCCCTTTTCAAAGTAGTCCACCTGTGAGGAAATACTGATTTTCCAGTGATACTGTCATTATTCAGAACTCTTTTGGAATGTTTCAGGAATTCTCTACACAGTCTGTAGTATCTGCAATTAATGGCAAGGCTTTATTGTCCACAGGTTGAATTCCTTTTAGGAAATAGGCAAAAGTCATTCAGAACCCAATTAGATAGTGAAATAGTAGGCGATTCTCCTTTTGGTTAAAACAAAAATTTTCAAGTAATCAAATTACTTTTCTAGTGGACTTTGGAGGCAAACCAAAAGTTAAACTGCCCAAATGGTTTCAGTCATGATCTTCATGCTTGCGGTTAGAAATTTATAGCTATGCCTATGTGTTCTCTCTCGCTCCACTTTGACTCTGTTCTCAAAAGTGAATTTATTTTCTACCACCATGCTCCTTCTGTTAGCCTGGACCAATCTTACATTTTCCTGAGGGTCAAAAAAGAGAAGTCTTTAAATCCAGTTAAGCTGATATAAGTGCCCATTGGAGATGGGTGCACATAAATAAAAGAGTACTTCGGGGATCCTGGGCCCTTTGGTCATAAACAAACATGGTAGCACTGTTAAAAGATACCTTTATGGGCAAAATACACAGAAGGGAAGATGGTAAATTCATGGGTAGGTCATTTTTACTGTTTTCCATATCTTAAGAAAGAACTTTTTTTTTTTCTTAAGACCAGTTATTTTATTTATCAGTGTCCAGCATGGAAGTTGTGATACAATAAGAACTGTATTTGATCTTTGTTCCCAGTCCCTGACACAGAGCTCCGAAAAGCCTTATAATTTCCTGAGTGACCGGAGTGCCTTTTGTTAGTCATAATAAGCCCCTTTTGATCATACCTGAGTTTAAGCTAATGAGGTGACAGCATGTGACCCCTAGATAGCCTAAGGTTGGGGCCTGTCTCCAGAAAAATCAAGTGAGTAGAGGGTTAGAACATTCAGCTCAGTCCACAGACCTTTGGCGAGGTGGGGGTCAGGGACGGCAGGGAATAGGGGATGGGGATTAAGCTCTATAAAAACTCTTGGGACGGGTGTGGTGGTTCACACCTGTAATCTCAGCACTTTGGGAGGCCGAGGCGGGCAGATTACTTGAGCTCAGGAGTTTGAGAGCAGCCTGGCCAACATGGTGAAACCCTGTCTCTACTAAAAATACAAAAATTAGCTGGGCATGGTGTTACATGCCTGTAATCCCAGCTACTCCGGAGGCTGAGGCAGGAGAATCAGAATCACTTGAACCCAGAGGTGGAGGATGCAGTGAGCCGAGATGGCACCACTACACTCAAGCCTGGGCAATATGGTGAGACTCTGTCTCAAAAAAAAAAAAAAAAAAAAAAAAAAGAAAGAAAAGAAAAGAAAAAGGAAGAAGAAAAAACAAACAAAAAACCTCTTGAACAAGAAGACTTGATGAGCTTCTGGGTTGGTGAATGCATCCACATGCTGGGAGGGCAGTGTATCCCAACTCCATGGGGACAGGGGCTCCTGCGCTTCCAGACCTCACCCTATGTACTCTTCATCTTGCTGTTCATCTGTATCCTTTATAATCTCTTAGAATAAACTGGTAAATGTAACAAAAGTGTTTCCCTGAGTTTTGTGAGCCATTCTGACAAATTATTGAATGGAGGAGGAGGTCATGGAAACCCTCCATTTATAGTTGGTCAGTCATATGTACCAGAGGCCTGGCCTTGCAATTGGCATCTGAAGTGGGGATAGTCTTGTGGGACTGAGCCCTTAACTTGTGGGATCTGAGGCTAACTCCAGGTAGATAGTGTCAGAATTGAATTAAATTGTAGCGCACCCAGCTGGTGTCCAGAGAGTTGGAGAATTGTTTGGTGTGAAAAAACCCCACACATTTGCTGTCAGAAGTGTGGTGTGAGTGTAGAGAAATGTGGTTTTATTGGAGAAGTTCTTTTTTGTGAGTTATTATTTATGTAAACATATTAAAACTTATGCGTGTTTGCAATATTATGAATATCCTAACTCGCTAACCAAGATGACTGCAAAATATACTCAACTACCCACACAGTTTTCCAGAATTCTAAGAGGCCAAAAAAGTCCCTCTTTCTTATATTTAAAAAAAAAAAAAAAGCCTGGGCAACCTAGTGAGACCTCGTCTCTACTAAAAATAAAAAATTCGCAGTGGGTGGTGGTGCACATCTGCGGTCCCAGCTACTTGGGAGGCTGAGGTGGGAGGATCGCTTGAGCCTGGGAGGCTGAGGCTACAGTGAGCCAAGATTGTGCCACTGCATTCCAGCTTGGGTGACAGATCAAGACACTGTCTTAAATAAATAAATAAAAATAAGTATTAATGCAAACCAAATATTGAAAAAAAGAGGTCTATAGAGAGGAAAAAAGGTAAAGATTCACTAACTCATGTAATAGTGACACTGAACAATGCAGTTTGTCTAGCTATAAAAAGCTATGCATTACACAAACTGATAGGAGAGTACCTAGTAAATTTAATCTGATGATTAATTCTTTTGTAATATGGCATCAAAAAAGCCTTAACAAAATATGAACTGGTCATTTCTTCTTCCACTATACCAGGCAAAATATTTAAAATACAGACGTATGTATCCATGTTTTGTTTTTTTTTTAGTTTTAATTTTAATTTTATTTATTTTTTTGAGACGGAGTCTTGCTCTGTTGCTCAGGCTGGAGTGCAGTGGCGCAATCTCGGCTCACTGCAACCTCCACCTCCCCAGTTCAAGCGATTCTCCTACCTCAGCCTCCCGAGTAGCTGGGACTACAGGCACGTGTCACCATGCCCGGCTAATTTTTTGTAGTTTTAGTAGAGACGGGGTTTCACCATGTTAGCCAGGATGGTCTCGATCTCCTGACCTCGTGATCCACCCGCCTAGGCCTCCCAAAGTGCTGGGATTACAGGCGTGAGCCAACACGCCTGGCCAATTTTTTGTTGTTGTTGTTGTTTATTTTTGAGAGAGTTTTGCTCTCATTGCCCAGGCTGGAGTGCAATGGCACAATCTCAGCTCAATGCAACCTCCACCTCCTAGGTTCAAGCGATTCTCCTACCTCAGCCTCCCAAGTAGCTGGGATTACAGGCATGCACCACCACGCCTGGCTAATTTTGTATTTTTAGTAGAGACAGGGTTTCTCCATGTTGGTCAGGCTGGTCTCGAACTCCTGACCTCAGGTGATCCACCTGCCTCGGCCTCCCAGAGTGCTGGGATTACAGGCATGAGCCACCGCACCTGGCCCTATTTTTTATTTCTTTCTGATAGAGTCTCCCTATGTCACCCAGGCTGGAGTAGTGGTGCAATCTCAGCTCATTGCAACTGCTACCTCCCAGGCTCAAGGGATTCTCGTGCCTCCACCTCCTAAGTAGCTGGGACTACAGGGTGCACCACCATGCCTGGCTAACTTTTGTATTTTTTGTAGAGATGAGGTAGGGGTCGGGGGCGGTCCATCATGCTGGCCAGGCTGGCATCGAACTCCTTGGCTCAAGCAGTCTGCCGGCCTCCCAGCTAAAAAAGTGCTGGAATGACTGTCATAAGCCACCTAGCCTGGCCCATGTTTATTTTACATATGTTTAAAATACAAGGTAGTGACTTACCCAGTGTCTTTCTTAACTTTGAGCACTGATTATAAGCAAGAATTCTAACTTGGATTATTTTCTTAGTCTGAATGTTTTTACTGATAAATATAATTCATATTTCTCTGACTTCTTCATACTCTCTTTTGACGTATTTTCTCCCTTACTCCACAATTTTACCAGATAGTGAATAGTAATCTACCAATGTACTCAGTGTTAATAAACATACCTTCTGAAGTTACAGAAACTCGGTTCCCTTTTGAAGCATTTAAATTTAATTTCTTCAGTTTTCTACAGTTAGACAGGTGCAGGAGAGCAGCATCTGATATATCGCAGCTCCGTAGATCTAGAGTTTGGACTTCAGGATGTAAAATCTATAACAAATAAGTGATTTTGAAAAAATTATTTCTTTCTATAAATACAAATATTTATTCCATATTCAGTGTTTTGGTGGTCATAACAGACAAGTGGCTGATGTAAAATACAGCAAAGAATACAGAAGCATATCCATGTGCAGACAGACACACAAAGCAGGAGAAAACCACTTCTACTTCCAGCAGGAGGTGCAGCTTTCAGTGCTGGCAAAGTCCTTCTTGGGACACAAAGCACTGTTGAGATGGCTAATTCAGGGGAAGGATCCATAGACCTGAGAAGCTTAACCAATGTGGCAGTGAGTAATAATCTTCTGGTAGCTGCTGGCATTAGAGACTCTCCCTATGGGCCTCTGTGCTTAGGAAGTATGAGTCTTTAATCACTTGTGTACCAAGTGCTTACAGAGCACTAGTACTGCTTATCTAGAACATTTACCTTCTATATCATTATTTTTGGGAGCTAATAAAATACCCCAGTATTATTGGGTGTTTTCTTGAGGTTGACAAATAATAGATTAATTCCTAAGCATTCTGAGCTCTTTCCTGTATTTTTCTGTTCTTTATTTTTTTTCCAAAATAGAAATGGCTTTACCTTTCTGAAAATAAAATAAGGTATTATTATTGTAAAACACTCAGACAATTTAGAAAAATTATAATAAGTTATAAGAATAATGATTTCTATTTATTAGATGCTTACCAGGAAGGGTACTGTCATATACATTATATTATTTTTTATTTTATTTTATTTTTGAGATGGAATTTCACTCTTGTTGCCCAGGCTGGAGTGCAATGGCGTGATCTCGGCTCACTGCAACCTCCGCCTCCCGGGTTCAAGCGATTCTCCTGCCTCAGCCTCCCAGTAGCTGGGATTACAGGCATGCACCACCACGCCTGGCTAATTTTGTATTTTTTAGTAGAGATGTGGTTTCTCCATGTTGGTCAGGCTGGTCTCAAACTCCCGGCTTCAGGTGATCTGCCCGCCTTGGCCTCCCAAAGTGCTGGGATTACAGGCGTGAGCCACTGTGCCTGGCCTACATTATGTTATTTAATATTCTCTCTCTCTCTCTTTCCACTGCCCACCACCCCACTGCCCGCCCCCAAGGGATTGGTCATTGCCATTTTACAAATCGGGAATTAAGACCCTGAGAGCTTAAGTAGCCAACATAAAGAACATAGCCAAAAGGAGTGGAGCTGGGATTGGAACCCAGGTCCTTTTAATTCCAAAGCCTAACCTTTTAACCTCTATAACTAAAATTACCCATAATACCAATACCCAGAGATAAAATTATATTAGCTTTTTAAAACTGTTAGATTCAGGGGGTACATGTGCAGGTTAGTTACAGGGATATACTGCATGATGCTGAAGTTTAGGCTTCAATTGAACCCATCACCCAAAGAGTGAACACAGTACTTGACAGGTAGTTTTTCAATCCTTGCTTCCCTTCCTCCTTCCTCCCTTTTGAAGTCCCCAGTGTGTATTTTTCCCATCTTTATGTCTGTGTGCACCCAGCGATTGGCTCCCACTTATAAGTGAGAACATGCAGTATTTGGTTTTCTGTGTCTGCATTTATTCATTAGGATAACGGCCTCCAGCTGCATCCATGTTGCTGTAAAGGACATGATTTTATGGCTGTATATATTCATTTTGATGTTTTTTGAGTTTAAAAAACGCTTTGAAGAACAACAGGATCAGATCACATATAAGATGAGCACTTTTTATAAAATCAATAGATTGTGGTTGTATATTATTCCATTTTCTGCAAGTATCATAACTTATTAAATGCATCCTACACTGGCAAACACTTGAGTTGAACATTTAGGTTGCTTTAGGTAGGCAATATTATGCCGTGATTAAGAACATGTGCTTTGCAAGCAGACTGCCCAACCTGGAACCCTATGATTGCCATCAAGCTCAGTTTTCTCTCTGTGCTTTACTAGCCTTATTACTAAAACAGGATATGTTGTGAGAAATAAAGGTGTCTTGCTTATAACATATGCTATATATAACTATGCTTATTATCATAAATGATATTATAATGAATATATGTGTGTACTTTTCTATTATCTTCCTGAGATTTCTACAGGAAGTAAATTGTTGAATTAATAATAAGCAAATCTTTAGAATTTTTAATAATGCCAAACTGTCCGTCTAAAAGGTTTTTTTAAATCAATTTACACTCTCACTAGCAGGAGATAAAAGTGACAGTTTCTCCACACTATTGCTAACATTGGGTTTTGGGATTTTTTTAAAGTCTCTGCCAAACTGAAAGGCAAACTGTCACTTTGATGACTAGTAAGGTTAAATATCCTTTGATATGTTATTGGAGATTTGTATTTTTTCCTCTGAGTATTTCCTGATTCTTCTGGTTTTTTATTTGGTTGTTTTGTTTTTTCTTATTGGCTTGGAGGGATTCTTTATATTGTCAAGATAAAAAAGCCCCTAGATTTTCATACATACTGTAAATATTTTTCCAAGTTTTTGACTTTGTTTCTTTTTTTTTTTTCTTCTTGCCATAAGGAAGTCTGTATTTTTATGTAATCAAATCCATCCAACTTTTTTTCTTGGTTTCCAACTTTAGTATCATGTTTAAAAAGGCCTTCTCCATCCAGAGAGTATAAAAAGATTTATGAAATACTTCAAAAACAGCCATCCAAAGATGTGTGTCACTTTGTAATGGATGTTGTATCTGGCTTTTTGAATAATGTCATAAGCAAGACTCTTGTTAAGGATGGAGACTAGAGGGAGAGTACCCAGAAAAATCATGTCTTGTTTTTCTATCTCATTCACCCTCTTCACCCCTCCTTTTAAATTCAGCTAAAATTAGGCTTAAAAAATGGTAAGGATTGCCATCAAACAAAAACCTAAGTCACTGAAGGATAAGCTAAAGGGATAGTAAGAAATGTGGATGGTGGAAAAGTGAAGAAAACCACCATTTTTCTACAGTGTCATTATGGTTCATCTATGAGTCACATATAACATTACATACTTCAACAGAACCATCAACAATAAGAACGTGGAGATATTATTCTACTTCCACAGAGCCAAGCAAACTACACCACTAAGGTATCTATGTTCAAATGCAAGCTAACATGAAGAAAATAAAGCATTATAATAAAGATATATCAGGTTAATGCAGAAGAAACATTAAAAACAGGTTAAAGTGCAATTCCAATGTAAAGTCACAGGGTTAGTCACATGCTCTAGCATGTAGGCTGGGCACTGTGGCTCACACTTATAATCCTAGATCTTTGGGAGGCCAAGGTGGGCAGATTGCTTGAGCCCAGAGGTTCAAGACCAGCCTGGGCAACATGGTGAAACCCTGTCTCTAAAAAAAATACAAAAATTAGCTGGATGTGGTAGTGGGTGCCTGTAGTCCTAGCTACTCAGGAGGCTGAGGTGGGAGGATCACCTGAGCCCAGGAGGTTGAGGCTGCAGTGAGCCATGATTATGCACTCTACCCTGGGTGACAGAGTGAGACCCTGTCTCAAAAAAAAAACAACAAACAAGCAAAAACCACAGAAAAACATATGCTGGAGTGCTATCATCAGACCTTGCTTCCTTTTGATTACAGGCTTTAGGCAGAAGGTGAAGTGAAGTCAGAGCAATTGTGGAGTCCTAATTAGGGAAAAGGAGTCAGGCTGGCAGGACAAGGGGAAAGCAAATAAGCTACAGGTCTGCCTTTCTTCATGGTCCAGAACATATAAACAAAAAGAAGAAGCAGATAAGCTATAGGTCTGCCTTTCTTTATGGCCCAGAACATATAGCCCTCCTGTGCAGACAACATACAAAACTCATAAACCTCCTGCTTATCACCAAACACTTTGATCTATCATCAAACACCTCGGCTGACAGAAGGATGCAAGTTAGTTCCCTCCTACCTTGGTGCTGTCAATCAGCCCAAGTTCCATTCTATAAAATCCCCAGCAAGCCTTTGTCTCCTGGCAGTTGGGTCCTCTCTTGCTGGTTCTGCCCGTTGCTCCCTTGCAATGTATTTTCATATTTTCTCTAATAAATCTGCCTTTCTTGGCCGGGCGCGGTGGCTCACGCCTGTAATCCCAGCACTTTGGGAGGCTGAGGCGGGCAGATCACAAGGTCAGGAGATCGAGACCATCCTGGCTAACATGGTGAAACCCCGTCTCTACTAAAAATACAAAAAATTAGCTGGGTGTGGTGGCGGGCGCCTGTAGTCCCAGCTACTCAGGAGGCTGAGGCAGGAGAATGGCGTGAACCTGGGAGGCAGAGGTTGCAGTGAGCCAAGATCATGCCACTGCGCTCCAGCCTGGGTGAAACAGCAAGACTCCGTCTCAAAAAAAAAAAAAAAAAAAAAAAAATCTGCCTTTCTTTACCTACAACTGTCTTGGTAAATTCTTTTACCACCATCCCACCAGCCTGGATAGATGCCGCTCACCCCCAACAGCAATTGGCAGTTCTAGTCTCTGCAGACTAGATGGTGATGGCTGCAGAGTGGTGGTGGCTGCAAACCCAAAGACAATATTTAAATGTAAGTAGTGTAGAAACTACTAACTAGCATTTTCACTTTTTGAAACACAAATAGCAAAAATACAAAAGATAACACAGGAGTAGTATCGAAGGAAATTATCTACTCTGCTATTTAATAACCTTTAAAATCAGAGGCTGAAGGTTAAGCCCTAATCTCACGGGCTGTTTAGCAGAACAAAGAGTGATTAACCATCTTTTTCTAGTGCTTGGGGCTCTCTGCCTTGGAGCTCATCACTCCAGCCCCTCTCCAGGCCTCCACCCCCTATGTCAGCTTAGTAGGGCCGAAACAGACTTGGGTCTGGCCTCCTTTACTCTTACCACTACCAGAGAGTATACAGAGATATGTTCACAGGCCAAAACAAGACATCTAGAGAGCACCACTATTTCAAAAGAAAAACAAAGATTACTGATTCCATCAGGAGCAGAGGAATTAGAACAGAGAGGCCAAATATATTAATAAGCATAATAATATGCTAAAAGAAATAAGAAAAGATTAATAAGATAAAACGAAACCATAAAAAGGTGAATTGGAAATATTAAATATGAAAAATATAGCAGTTGAAAAAAGAACAGTATAGATGAGAAGAGTGATTTTTTAACTACTGGTCATTATCCATGAATGGATTACAAAATCAGTTTAGCAGACTGTGATCAATATTTTTTCAGTAAAATAAGACTAAATAGAATAAAATTAAATAGAAAAGACCAAAATGTACTATACATTATACTGTTACACCTAAGTGTGGTTTGTGTACTACAGTCACAATGTAACGTATATTTCTTATTGTGAGTCTTGATCAAAAAGTTTTAAACTTTTTGAAAACACGGAGGTCAAGGGTACAGGTACCATGAAGACAAGTGTGTATGGAAGGCTAATGGGAGCTGACCAGAACAACACCATTTTGTTCCTGAATGTCATTCTGCAACTGCTTGACTGTAGAACGTACTTGCTGATGCTGCAGATGAAATTGCTGCCACTTCTGAAAAGACTATGCTATGCTGATGACTGAACTTTTTCCAAACCCCTGAATCAAGGACTTCTGCCTAGAAACCCTTATTCTAACTAATGAATTGTTTGATAACCCTCTCCCACCTTTCTCTTTAAAAGACCTCATATATCTCTTAGGACATATGAATTAAATAGTTAGGACATGATTTCAGATGCCTCTGGAATCTGTGTTCCTTGAATTCAATTCTAAAACCACCAATAAACCTTTTTGCTTGGATTTTCAGTCTCCACGACTCTGGTTGACACAAGAGAAGTAACTGAGACAATGGTAGAAGATGTTTTAGGAACTATTACATGTTGCGGGAAGTCAGGGACCCCAAATGGAGGGACCAGCTGGAGCCATGGCAGAGGAACATAAATTGTGAAGATTTCATGGACATTTATCACTTCCCAAATAATGCTTTCATAATTTCTTATGCCTGTCTTTATTTTAATCTCTTAATCCTATTATCTTCATAAACTGAGGATGTACGTCACCTCTGGACCACTGTGATGATTGCATTAACTGTACAAATTGATTGTAAAACATGTGTTTGAACAATATGAAATCAGTGCACCTTGAAAAAGAACAGAATAACAGCAATTTTAGCGAACAAGGGAAGACGACCATAAGGTCTGACTGCCTGCGGGGTCAGGCAAAAAGAGCCATATTTTTCTTCTTGCAGAGAGCCTATAAACAGACGTGCAAGTAGGAGAGATATTGCTAAATTCTTTTCCTAGCAAGGAATATTAAGACCCTAGGGAAAGAATTGCATTCCTGGGGGGAGGTCTATAAATGGCCACTCTGGGAGTGTCTGTCCTATGGGAGTGTCTGTCCTATGCGGTTGAGATAAGGACTGAGATACACCCTGGTCTCCTGCAGTACCCTCAGGCTTACTAGGATTGGGAAACCCCAGCCCTGGTAAATTTGAGGTCAGACTGGTTCTCTGCTCTCGAACCGTTTTCTGTTAAGATGTTTATCAAGACAATACGTGCACTGCTGAACATAGACCCTTATCAGGAGTTCTGATTTTGTCCTTGCCCTGTTTCCTCAGAAGCATGTGATCTTTGCTCTGCTTTTTGCCCTTTAAAGCATGTGACCTACTCCCTGTTCGTACATTCCTCCCCTTTTGAAATCCTTAATAAAAACTTGCTGGTTTTGTGGCTCAGGTGGGCATCACAGTCCTACCGATATGTGATGTCACCCCCGGCGGCCCAGCTGTAAAATTCCTCTCTTTGTACTCTTTCTCTTTATTTCTCAGACCAGCCGACACTTAGGAAAAATAGAAAGAACCTACATTGAAATATTGGGGGCAGGTTCCTCTGATAATTACATATGGACATTTTGGTTATCTGGAGGGAAAAAAACAAACCCTTATACTTTATAATATTCTAAAATGTGGGCCAGGCATGGTGGCTCACACCTGTAATCCCAGCATTTTGAGAGGCTGAGGCGGATGGATCACTTGAGCTCCGGAGTTCGAGACCAGCCTGGGCAACATGGTGAAACCCTGTCTCTACAAAAAATGCAAAAATTAGCCAGGCATGGTGGTGTACACCTATAGTCCCAACTACTCAGGAGGCTGAAGAGGGATCACCTAAGTCCAGGCAGCGGAGGTTGCAGTGAGCTGAGATTGCACCACTGTACTCCAGCCTGGGCAACGGAGCATGACCCTGTATAAAAAAAAAAAAATTAAAAATGATTACCAGTCTTACCATATACCATTGTTCCAAAAATCTAAAACCATATCTAAACAGAAAATATAATATGCTTGCTTTACAGTTATTCATACTCTTACCTCACTTATATTTGAATCTGTTATCTGTCCCTGCATACTCATTATTTTAATCAGTCTGTCTTTTATGTTGGGAGGCAAAGGCTTAATGTCTGTGAGATATCTGGAAATATTCTTCATGAAGCACCAAAGGCATCTGAAATACAAATACAATATAGTAAATCACACTGGGCCTGTACTGATTCCTAACACTTGTCTTAATGCTATTTGTTAGCACTTAGCCCTTTCATAAAAGTGTGTACATTTTGGCTGGGTGTGGTGGCTCACGCCTGTAATCCCAACACTTTGGGAAGCCCAGGCAGGAGGATGGCTTGAGCTCAGGAGTTTGAGACCAGCCTGAACAACATAGTGAAACCCTGTCTCTACAAAAAAAGAAAAAAAATACAAAAATTAGCTGAGCATGGTGATGTGAGCCTGTAGTCCCAGCTACTTGGGAGGCTGAGGTGGGAGGATCGCTTGGGCCCAGAAGGTCGAGACTGCAGTGAGCTGTGATTGTGCCACTACGCTCCAGCCTGGGCAACAGAGCAAGATCCTGTCTCAAAAAAAAGTATATACATTTTATATTAATACTATATTTACAACTTTAGCTCTGTAAGCTTCAAAAACCTAGTCTGTGTTAAATTACGGACAAGATGCTCTTCCTCTACAATTTTTTTCTATGCATACCTCATTTATCAAAATGCATTTTAAATGACCAACAAGAATGTTTTTCCTAAGTGTCTAATTTCTAAGACACATACTCCTAAATAAGCTTTATATTGGGACCCACTAATTGAAAAGTTTTATCTGTTAATCCAGCAAACTTGTTTTTACTATTTTTCTTGAAAACTATGTGGATAATGAAATCACTAGAGAAAGAACCATAACCACAAAGATTCAGCAAATATTACAAATCACAGAGATATCAAACTCAGTGCCAGGGTTGTATAGGCAGAAAGTAGAGTTATCAGGCAACAACCAAGAATCTTATGACCAACATATCTTATCTGTGTCCTGAAATTCCAACCATCTGAAAAACTCATACTTTAAAGAAACAAATACAAATCTTATTAATTTCTGTCTACAAATATCCCCATATATACAAAATTTTACATTCATGAGTGAATGTGATCATATACCTGTGATTAATTTTTTAGTGCAATGTTAATTTTTTCTTTTTCCTCTTTTGGTTTCCTACACAGTTTCCTCTCTTGTCCTTCCCCCTCCATTAGCTCTCTACACCAATGTAGCATATATTCTTTCTTATTTTTCTCTGTTCTTGTACACACACACACACACACACACACACACACACACATTTAAAGGCTTGTGTGGGGGAGGGGTCATTGTTTCCTAAAACGGCACCACAGTACACTTACTTTTATACACTGTCTTTCATTCAGTATCTTATGAAATCCCTTCAAGGCATCCGACACAGTACTGATTCTCCCTTAATGGTCACATCATATTTCACAGTACGGATGATCTATTTAGTGACTTGTATGCTGACAAGCATTACCACTATTTCTAGGATATGTTGTCAGATTATTTTTCAGAAAGTCTGGAAAACACTTCATATTTCTATTAGTAGTGTCAGAAAGCTCCTTTCCCTCTACATCCTTCCAGCAATAGATATCATGGCTAGTTTATTTATTTTTTGAGACAGAGTCTCACTCTGTCACCCAGGCTGGAGTGCAGTGGCATGATCTCAGCTCACTGCAACCTCTGCCTCCCAGGTTCAAGCAATTCTTCTGCCTCAGCCTCCCAAGTAGCTGAGACTATAGGCGTGTGCCACCATGCCTGGCTAATTTTTGTATTTTTAATAGAGATGGGGTTTCACCATATTGGCCAGGATGGTCCAAACTCCTCACTTGGGATTACAGGCATGAGCCACCGCACCCAGCCCTATTTATTTATTTTATATTTAATTTTAATTTTATTTATTCTTTCCATTTCTTTGTTATCTCCATTTCCCACTCCCATTCCCCACCCCTCTAGGAAACCATTCTCATGTTTAATGTGTATCCTTTCATTGTATATTTCCTTTTAACATGTTTATTGTATGCATGCATTTCTAATTTATAAACATGGGACTTGTCATAGATTTGTTTAGTTTTTCACTCAGCACTGTTTTCAAGATCACCTACTCTTAAATGTTGGAAGGCCTAACAGGTGAAAATGATGTCTCACTATTACTTTAACTTGTATTTCTCTAATTACCAATAAACAACATCCTTGCATGAGCTTGCTGGCTATCTGGATATGCTTTTCCATAAACAATCTATACATATCCTTTGCCTGTTTTGTTATTTTTAAAAACTGATACATAATAGATGTACATATTTTCAGGGTACATGTGATAATTTGATACATTCATATAATGTGTAAAGATCAAATCAGGGTAACTGGGTTATCCATCACCTTAAATATTTATCTTTTGTTTATGCTAGGAACATTCAAATTATTCTCTTCTAACCATTTTGAAGTGTATAATAGATTATTATTAACTATAGTCACCCTACCCATCTATTGAACACTATTTTTTATTTGTGTATTTATACCCATTAATCAACCTCTCTCTATGCCGCCATCCCCTGCCCTTCCCAGCCTCTGTTAGCCACCCATCTACTCTCTATCTTCATGATATCCACTTTTTTTTAGTTCCCACATATGAATGAGAACATGTGACATTTGTCTTTCTGTGTCTGGCTTACTTAACAAAATGACCTCCAGTTCCATCCATGTTGCTGCATATGACAGAATTCATTCATTCCCCCCTCCCTCCCTTCCTCCCTCCCTCCCTCCTTCCCTACCTCCCTCTCTCCCGAGATGGGGTCTTGCTCTGTTGCCTAGGTTGGGGTGCAATGGTGCAATCACAGCTCACTGCAGCCTTAACCTCCTAGGCTCAAGAGATCCTCCTGCCTCAGCTTCTAGAGGCATGCTTACCACACTTGACTAAGATTTCATTATTATTTTATTTTATTATTATTTTTTTTCAAGATGGAGTCTTGCTCTGTCGCCCAGGCTAGAGTGCAGTGGTGCAATGTCGGCTCACTGCAACCTCTGCCACCCAGGTTCAAGCAATTCTCCTTCCTTGGCCTCCCAAATAGCTGGGATTACAGGCACATGCCACCACGCCCGGCTAATTTTTGTATTCTTAGTAGAGACAGGGTTTCACCATGTTGGCCAGACTGGTCTTGAACTCTTGACCTCGTGATCTGCCTGCCTTGGCCTCCCAAAGTGTTGGGAATACAGGCATGAGCCACCGTACCCAGCAGATTTCATTATTTTTTAATGGCTGAATAATATTCCATCATATATATGTATTATACCACATTTTCTTTATTCATTCATCCATTGATGGGCACTTAGGTTGATTCCATATTTTGGTTATTTTTATTTTTTTGAGACAGAGTCTTGCTCTGTTGCCAGGCTGGAGTGCAGTGGCACAATCTCAGCTCACTGCAACCTCTGCCTTCCGGGTTCAAGCAATTCCCCTGCCTCAGCCTCCCAAGTAGCTGGGACTACAGGTGCATGCCACCACACTCAGCTAATTTTTTCTTTTTTAGTAGAGACGGGGTTTCACCATGTTAGCCAGGATGGTCTCAAACTCCTGACCTCGTGATCCACACGCCTCGGCCTCCCAAAGTGTTGGGATTACAGGTGTGAGCCACCATGCTCGGCCCATATTTTGGTTATTACAAATAGTGCTGCAATAAACATGGGAGTGCAGATATCTCTTTTATATATTTATTTATTTTCTTTTGGATATTTACCCAGTGGTGAAATTGCTGAATCATAGGGTAGTTCCATTTTTAGTTTTTTGAGGACCATTTTGTTATTTGTTGACAAATTTGTAAGAGCTCTTTGTTGTGGCCAAATACATGCTCTATATATTCAGAGAATGTATATTATCTACGTGAGAGATGTAATGTTCTCTCTGTGTGTTATATATATATGTATGTATAAGTATCTCTCTCCATGTATGTATATGTGTTTGCACATAAATATGTTTAATGTATATATGTTTATTTACAGTATTATCTAATTCTACTATATTCTTATTTTTCTACTAAATGTGGAATTTCTAGTTTATGATATTTGTAATTTAAAATCAAGTCTTCTTTTCATTTCTGCAAGTTTTTGCTTGTTGTTTTATAATAAAAAATTTCAAAAATACAGAAATATAAAACAGGGTGATATACATCTATGTACCTCAAACCTAGAATTTTGTTACTCTTTTATCATATTTGTGTCAGACATCTCAAGACATAAAACATTTCTGATTAAGGCTGAGCATGGTGGCTTATGTCTATAATCCCAGCACTTTGGGAGACTGAGACAGGAGGCTCACTTGAGCCCAGGAGTTCAAGACCAGCCTGGGAAACATGGCAAAACCCTGTCTCTACAAATAATACAAAAATTAGCTGGGTGTAGTGGCATTCACTTGTAGTCCCAGCTACCTGGGGTGCGGGGGTGCTGAGGTGGGAGGATTGTTTGAGTCCAGGAGGTGAGGCTGCAGTAAGCTGTGATTGTACCACTGCACTCCAGCCTGGGTGAGAGAGCTAGACCTTGTCTCAAAAAAAGAAAAAAAAAATTTTCTGATAAAATTAAAGCCACTTTTATATACTCGACTGGTTTACTCTATGTATCTCTGTTTGTAGAGACAATTACTACCATAAAGTTTTAAAAATAGTTCCTGTCCATTATTTAATTATACTTTTAATACTAATACATATATCTATAAATAAATTATTGATTTTTAAAATATAAATAAAGTTCCCTTAAATCATTTCACAGGAGTTGCTACAGCAGCATGGAAAGCTTTTTTAATATTATTATATTCTCAAAGCTGTACTATGAGTCGGGGGTAAAGAAAAAAGCCCAAAAAATTTTCCAATTCTCAAATTATAGCTTTTACGGCAGGAAAGCATTAGAATACACCTCCACCTGTAACATAAAGCAAGCAAACCACCAGATATCTCCAACTAGGATCTTAAGATTCCCTCTAAATTGTTCTCTAGAAACACCATTTGTGCCTTTAATCTGCCTTTAAAATTTTTATTTATTTATCTTGAGACAAGGTCTCACTCTGTTGCCCAGGCTGGAGTACAGTGGCACAATCACAGCTCACTGCAGCCTCAACCTCCAAGGCTCAAGTGATCCTCTTACCTCAGCCTCCCAAGTAGTTGGGACTACAGACATGCACCACCACAATCAGCTAATTTTCTGTATTTCTTGTAGAGATGGGGTCTCTATATGTTGCCCAGGCCGGTCTTGAACTCCTGGGCTGAAGTGAGCCTCCCACCTTGGCCTCCCAAACTGCTGGGATTACAGGCATGAGCCTTGTGCTCGGCCTTAATCTGCTTTTTAAACAGGAACACAGAACAAAAAAGATTGTTTGCAAATAAACATTTGAAAGAATATAGCAACAGCTGATCAGGGTCCAGGCATTGAAACAAAGCAATGATTGTAGAAGACAATACAAACAACTCTGGAGCAAGAAACTCAAAAGCAGAGACTTTGCAGTAATGTGTATGCTGGTTATTTCCATTGACCTAAAAGCTCTACCTGAAACAAATATAAACTAGGAGGATCTTTTTAACTTATTACCTGAACAGAAAGAAGTCACTGCCACCAACAACATTGTGCAATTTTATTAACCATTCAAGTCCAGTAGCATCTGGTAAAATTAGGACAGAATTGGGATTAAAAAATGAACAAATATTCCGTATCAAACAGTTCAAAAGAAGCCACTACATACTCTTTTCACAAATATGTTTCACAAAGCCAGTACAGTACTAGCCATTAACCCAAGTGTACTGAAGTAGCAAAGATGCAACAAGAAAAATAGCTATGTTAGAAAGACCAACATTTTAGAAAAAGAGTAAAACTCTTTCAGTTTCTTCCCTTTAGCTCCTAAAACAACATTGTACAGGCTGGATTTACCTATCTAGTCCTACATCAGCTTCTAGAATATTTGTCAGGAGCAAAAAATAAAATGACACTGGCCAGTATAGTCTGAATATCTAGGAAGAAGAGCGGGGAGAAAGTCAGTTCTTAGAACAAATTAGTCAGCTTCAGCCTCATCACCAGGATCTCTGGATTCTTTGCTCTTCCGCATTTCTTCAACGTGCTTATCTTTCTCTGCAAACACTCCAGTGTGGTAGTCATTTGCGCCTTCCTGTTCTCTTTGTTAGCTTCCATTTTGTGGGTCAGTTTCTCTTCTGCTATTTCACTGAAGCTGTTCTTTTATTGATTTCTGAAGCACTTCTTTCTCCTGCTCTCATTTTTCAGCAAGCTGCTTCAAGGCCTCAGCTTCGCAGGGCTTGTGTCTTTCTTCTGAAGCTTCTGATTTATTCTGAATTTCCTCCAGGGAAAGATCTTTCTTCTTTGGAGGGGAAATAAGGAACTCTGGGATGGATTCTTTTGATGGTATCTGAGAATCAGTTCAAAAGCCTAGCCTGAGGCACACTTCTCCAGTGCTTTCACCTGGATATCAGAAGTAGCCATGATGAATGAAAGACAAGAGACTGGCAGTGTATTCTACAAAATCCACTGGGATAAGGAAAACTCTGCTAGATCTGAGCCACCTGACCACACTCTGAGCTGTTTTCTGTATTTATAAAATTTAAGAGTAGTTTATTAAGTTTCCTAACGTGACTAAATTTGACTAAACTACATGACAGGTTTCCTTTTTGTAAGACTGGTGTCAGTTGCAAATTCATGATATTTTCTTGTGGAATATTCCTTTTATCATTAAGTAATGTCTCTCTTTATCCGTATTCATGTTTTTCACTTTAGAGACTATTCTGTTTGATTTCAGTATTGCTCCATCATTTTTCCATGGTTTCTTTTGCTCAACATTATGTTTGTGAAATTTATCTGTATCGTTACATGTAGCTATAGATTATTCATTTCCATTTTCACGTTGTTCATGTCCATTTTCACTAACGTATAATATTCTGTTGTTTGACCAATTTATTCTACAGTGAATATACAGTTGGGTCATTTGTAACTCTTTATTATTATGAATATCAATATGAATATTCTTAGACATGTCTTTTGGTACACACGTATCTGTGTTTCAACTGAGTGTATATATCTAGTAGTGGAACTGCTGGCTCATAGGGTAGGCATATGTTTAGCTTAATGCCAGTTTTTCAAAGTGGTTGTACCCAATCACAATCCTACCATTGGTGAATGAGCATTCTTGTGGTCCATATCCTTGCCAACACTTGGCATTGTTAATCTTTTAAATTTTAGTCATTTTAGTGGGTATATAATAGCAATGCAATGTGGCATTAAATTGCAATCTCTGATTAATATGGGTACACATTCATCTTTTTATTGTCTGGTTGGATATCCTCTTTTGTGGAGTATCTACTCAAGTATTTTGCCCTCTTTCATTTTGGGTTAATTATGTTTCTTACTGATATATAGGAATTCCTGTTATATGCTGGATATGAACCTTCTGTTTGTTATATACGTTGCAAATATATTCCCCCATTCCGTGGATTGCCTTTCCACTTTCTTAATCATGTCTTTTGCTGAAGAGAAGTACATTCTAATACAGTCCAATTTATCAGTGTTTTCCATTACAGCAGGTGATTTTTTGTCCTGTTCATAAACTTTCCCTGTCCTAAGTTCATGAAGATATTCTCCTATGTTTTCTTCTACAAGAATTCACTAAGTTTATTGTTTCACCTTTCCTTTTTGACTTACAAACCACCAGGAACTGATTTTTTTTTTTACATTTTTATTTAAGTTCCGGGATATACACCTAGGTATTAAGCCCCACATGCATTGTCTATTTGTCCTGATGCTATCCTTTCCCTTGCTCCCCCCAACCACAGGCCCCGGTGTGTGTTGTTCCCCTCCCTGTGTCCATGTGTTCTCATCATTCAGCTCCACTTATGACATGCGGTGTTTGGTTTTCTGTTCCTGTGTTAGTTTGCTGAGGATGATGTCTTCCAGCTTTATCCATGTCCCTGCAAAGGACGTGATTTCATTTCTTTTTATGGCTGCATAGTATTCCATGGTTTATATGTACCACACTTTCTTTATCCAGTCTATCACTGATGAGCATTTGAGTTGGTTCCATGTCTTTGCTATTGTGAATAGTGCTGCAATAAACATATGTGTGCAATAAGCAAACATTCATTGTAATAGAATCATTTATATTCCTTTGGGTATATACCCAGTAATGGGATTGCTGGGTCAAATGGTATTCCTGGATAAACACATTCGTTATGAAGAAAGATTAAATAAATTCTTCTCT
Organism: Homo sapiens; assembly: GCF_000001405.40. NCBI lineage: Eukaryota > Metazoa > Chordata > Mammalia > Primates > Hominidae > Homo > Homo sapiens. The sequence continues at coordinate 31,717,550 of NC_000012.12, forward strand.
AGTGTCAAGCTACTTTAAACTTGTTTTAATTCAAGACTCTTCTGTGGTGCCTTCTAATCTGTCTACAGACAGTCTAATTTAATTCAGTCTTATTTAATTCACAAGAGGCAGTATCAGAAACTGGGATTTCTTGGTAACTAAGATTTATAGTTAACTTTTTTTTTTTAATTTTACTTTAAGTTCTGAGATACATGTGCAGAACATTCAGGTTTGTTACATAGGTATACATGTGCCATGGTGGTTTGCTGCCCCTATCAACCTGTCATCTAGGTTTTAAGCCCTGCATGCACTAGGTATTTGTCCTAATGCTCTCCCTCCCCTTGTCCCCAACCCCCCGACAGGCCCCAGTGTGTGATGTTCCCCTCCCTGTGTCCATGTGTTCTCATTGTTCAACCTGAATTTGAATGTTGGCCTGTCTTGCTAGGTTGGGGAAGTTCTCCTGCATAATATCCTGAAGTGTGTTTTCCAACGTGGTTCCATTCTCTCAATCACTTTCAGGTACACCAATCAATCGTAGGTTTGGTCTTTTCACATAGTCCCATATTTCTTGGAGGCTTTGTTCGTTTTCATTCCTTTTTCTCTAATCTTGTCTTTGCCTCTTATTTCAGTAAGTTGATCTTCAATCTCTGCTATTCTTTCTTCTGCTTGATCAATTTGGCTATTGATATTGTATATGCTTCATGAAGTTCTCATGCTGTGTTTTTCAGCTCCATCAGGTCATTTATGTTCTTCTCTAAACTGGTTATTCTAGTTAGCAGTTCCTGTAACCTTTTATCAAGGTTCTTAGCTTCCTTGTGTTGGGTTAGAACATGCTTCTTTAGCTTGGAGAGTTTGTTATTACCAACCTTCTGAAGCCTACTTCTGTCAACTCGTCAAACTCATTCTCTGTCCAGTTTTGTTCCCTTGCTGGCAAGGAGTTGTGTTCCTCTGGAGAATAGGCATTCTGGTTTTTGGAATTTTCAGGCTTTCTGCTCTAGTTTCTCCCCATCTTTGTGGTTTTATCTACCTTTGGTCTTTGATGTTGGTGACCTATGGATGGGGTTTTGGTGTGGATGTCCTTTTTGTTAATGTTGATGCTATTCCTTTCTGTTTGTTAGTTTTCCTTCTAACAGACAGGCCCCTCAGCTGCAGGTCTGTTGGAGTTTACTGGAGGTCCACTCCAGACCCTGTTTGCCTGGGTCTATAGACCTGTCTGCTGCCTTTTGTTCAGATATGCCCTGCCCCAGAGGTGGAATCTAGAGAGGCAGTAGGCCTTGCTGAGCTGTAGTGGGCTCCGCCCAGTGTGAGCTTCCTTGCCACTTTGTTTACACTGTGAGCATAGAACCGCCTACTCAAGCCTCAGCAATGGCAGACGCCCCTCCCCCCGCCAAGCTCCCACATCCCAGGTCGATCTCAGACTGCTGCGCTAGCAGCGAGCAAGGCTCCGTGGGTATGGGACCTGCCAAGCCAGGCACAGGAGGCAGTCTCCTGGTCTGCTGATTGGGAAGACCGTGGGAAAAGCGCAGTATTTGGGCAGGAGTGTACAGTCACTCAGAGCTTCCCTTGACTAGGAAAGGGAAATCCCCCGACCCCTTGCACCCAGGTGAGGCGACGCCCTGCCCTGCTTCAGCTCGCCCTCCGTGGGCTGCAGTCACTGTTCAACCAGTCCCAGTGAGATGAACCAGGTACCTCAGTTGGAAATGCAGAAATCGCCCATCTTCTGCGTCAATCTTGCTGGGAGCTGCAGACTGGAGCTGTTCCCATTTAGCCATCTTGGAAGTGACCTCCCAATTTCTTTTTAATGATATAAAATCTTTCCTAAGCATCACTAGGATCAGAAAAGCAAATTTTTCAGAAATTTCAAAAATGTAGAGAAAAGGTTAGACATTTTGTTAGGGAAGTAAAAATATATACAATTATACACATATAAAATTATATTTGTTCTGGAATATACAATATGTTATTTGTATTGCTCACTGTAGATCTAGTGATTGTAAGAACTTATGTAGCATTTTATCAAGCCTCCCTATCTCTTTAGAGACTTCAAAGACTTCAGAAAGGTATGGAGAACATCAAATGTTGGTCAAGATGGTAGTCAACAGGAACTCTCAAACATTGAGAGTAGGCATGTAATTTGGTACAAGCATCTGAGAAAACTGTTTGGCCTTATCTAGTAAAGCTAAAGATGTATAGATCCTAAGATCTAGCAATTCCAGTTGGAGGTATCAACCCTGGAAAACCTTGCACTTTTGAGTCAGAAGATGTAGACAACAAAACTCACAGCAGCATTGTTTGTAACAGAGAGAACTAAAAACAACTCAAATTACCATCCACAGTAAATAGAATGAATTACAATATAGTTATACAATGGAACCTTTTGTTTGTGCAATTTATTCAAGTGGTTGCATGCGGCCACAGTTCATTTCGTTCTCAATATATGTTATAATATATAGATGATACATGTATGTGTGTATATATATATTTCATTGTGTGAATATACTACATTTAATTTTTCCATTCCGTTGTCATTTGACATTGTCAACATACATTGCTTTACTTTTTTCTTTTAAAAAGTTGAGATGAAAGATAATATGAAATTAATCATTTTACAGTGTGCACTTCAGTGGCATTTTGTACATTTACAATGTTGTGCAACTACCACCTGTATCTAGTTCTAAAACATTTTCACCAGCCCAAAAGAAAACTTATCTCTATTAAGAAGTCAGTCCCTGCCGGGTGTGGTGGCTCCCACCTGTAATCCCAGTACTTTGGGAAGCTGAGGCATGTGGATCATCTGAGGTCAGGAGTTCGAGACCAGCCTGACCAACATGGTATAACCCCATCTCTACCAAAAATACAAAATTAGCCGGGTGTGGTGGCAGGTGCCTGTAATCCCAGCTACTTGGGAGGCTGAGGCAGGAAAATCGCTTGAACCATGGAGGAAGAGGTTTCAGTGAGCTGAGATCGTGCCACTGCACTCCAGCCTGGACAACATGAGTGAAACTCTGTCTCAAAAAAAAAAAAAAAAGTCAATCCCCATTCCTCCTTTTTCTCACAAATACCAATTATGGGTTGTAATACCTCAGAACTACCAATTTGCTTCCTGTCACTATTGATTTATCTGGATTTATACAATATGTGGCCTCTGTGTCTGGCTGCCTTCAATTAGCATCATGTTTTCAAGGTTTATCCACATTGTAGTATGTATCAGTATTTCATTCCTTTTTACAGCTGAATAACATTCAACTATACAAATATACCACATTTTGTTTATTGATTCATCAATTGATGGACATCTGTCTGGGTTTTTCTACCTTTGGCTAATGTGAATAATGCTGCTATGAACATTCATGTACAAGTATTTGAGTACCCAGTTTCAATTCAACTGGGTATAGACTTAGAAGTCAAATTGTAGCAGAATTGTAGGCCAAGTGTAGTGGCTCATATCTATAATCCCAGCACTTTGGAAGCCAACGTGGGAATATCTCTTGAGTCCAGGAGTTTGAGACCAGCCTCATTTATTTGGTTGAGCCACAGGTGAGCAGTCTCTCAAAACAAAAGTGAATGCAGAGCCTTGCCTAACAGTGCAAAGCCAGCTGCTTATATATCTGGCTCCTGCGACAGTCTGATTTGATTGGTGAGGATGATGGGGTGCTGGGCATATGGGTGGCCGAAATTATCAAGGACCGTGGAGTAAAATGTAGCGGTTTCCACTGGGGAAGAAAAAGAAGGACTTCCGGGTTTGGATGCTCAATGGGAGGTACCCAGGGGAGGAAGCTGGGTATCTGATGCTCAGGTATCAATACTGGGGTGGCATCAATACAGGAGTGGACAGCAAGAGGGAAATATCATCCTCAACACCCTCAGCATTCCCTGTGAGCCAACCTCCCTGCCACTCTGCATTCCCCACACTTCCAGCTGGTGAACAGCAGTCTCCTGTTGGCTGTTGCTATAATTCATAACTTGGGCACACATTAAGCTCCTTGGTCTCTGATCCCTTAGGGGAAAAAGGCAACCAAATGCAACTGATGAGGTCTGGGTAAAGTCTTCAGTGGGGAAGAGAGGCTAAAGTGACACTGCAGGTGGAGCCTACAAAGTTTGCCAATATCTGCCTTAGTCAACAAACAACACGTCCTTGGTCAAGGCATATTATATTTTTACTGACTCTTGGGCTGTTGACAATGTTACCTGGTCTGCCACTTGGAAGAAAACAAACTAGCGGATTACAGACACTCCTCTTTAGGACTGTGAACTGTGAAAACAAATCACAGCAGAGAATCAGACAGATGTCCATGGTAATGGCTCATTCTCTAATGGAATAGACTGCAATGATGCTGCTAATCAAGTATACACCATCCAGACTGCTGCCACTGCTGCCAGGATCAGCAGTCTGCACACTGTAACAACACACTGCACATAGCAACATTATCTGCCATCATGGCCTAGGAACAGAGTAAAGATTACATGTATCTGACGCTACCATTGCATGCTGGTCTTGTGCTTCCTTTCAAAAGTCAGCCTGTTTTGTCTCAGTGAAATAGACCGTATTTTATGGTGTGTGGTCCCTCTTACTTCTGACAAGTTGACTATATCAGGCCTTTGACACACACACACACACACACACACACACACACACACACACACACACCTGGGGCTATTGTTAATGTGTTACAGTTGTTGACATTTTTTCGGGTTATGGTTTCATTGTTCCAGTCTGTTCAACCAACGCCAGTCACACTGATCAAAATGTGTTATGTTTTTGGTTTTCCAGACCACTTTCACTCTGACAATGATATGTCTTTTACTGCGCAGAGGTTGCTCAACAATGAGCCAATAAGTCAAGGTATTCAACGGATATTTCACACCCCTTATCATCCTTAGGGTGTTGGCTCCAACAAGAAGTAAAACGGACTTTTAAAAAATCCACTAAAAGAAATTTCTGACTCTACCTCCTTCACACTCTCCTGGTCCATGCATCTTAGTAAGGTAGTTTGGTCACAAAAAAGGCACCCTGAAAGGGTTCATAGTCTCCTAGCCACCTCCTATATAATGATCAGGATGAAAAGGGGAGGGTTTGCTAGACTTAGTCTGATATTCTGGGATTCCACTCTGACAATTCCTGGGCATGATATGCAGCTTTCTTTCTCCAAACAATGACTCCAAGTCAGCCTGGTTGGTACACTCTCTGGGTGGCAGTCTGGCAAAAGGGAACTTAGGAAATTCAAACTTAATTCTGGTTCAGCCACCTGGATTCTCTTGTTGTACTGAAACCTGGATCAGGGGTCAGCAAACTATGACCTGTGGGACAAATGTAGCCAGCTGCTAGTTTTCAGAAATCAAGTTTTACGCCTGGCACGGTGGCTCACACCTGTAATCCCAGAACTTTGGGAGGCTGAGGCAAGCAGATCACCTGAAGTCAGGAGCTCAAGACCAGGCTGGCCAAGCTGGTGAGACCCTGTCTCTACTAAAAATACAAAAAATTAGCCAGGTGTGGTAGTGCATGCCTGTAATCCCAGCTACTTGGGAGGCTGAGGCAGGAGAATCACTTGAACCTGGGAGGCAGAGGTTGCAGTGAGCTGAGATCGGGCCACTGCACTCCAGCCTGGGCAACAGAGTGAGACCTCGTCTCAAAAAACAAGAAAGAAATCAAATTTTATTGGAACACTGCCTTTGACTGACACACACACAAACACACACGCACACACACACCACCCCTGGGGCTATTGTTAATGTGTTACAGTTGTTGACATTTTTTCAGGTTATGGTTTCATGGTTTCAGTCTGATCAACCAACTCCAGCCACACTGATCAAAGTGTGTTATGTTTTTGGTTTTCCAGACCACTGCGATCTCGGCTCACTGCAAGCTCCGCCTCCTGGGTTCACACCATTCTCCTGCCTCAGCCTCCTGAGTAGCTGAGACTACAGGCGCCCGCCACTATGCCCGGCTAAGTTTTTGTATTTTTAGTAGAGACAGGGTTTCACCATGTTAGCCAGGATGGTCTCGATCTCCTGACCTCGTGATCCACCCGCCTCGGCCTCCCAAAGCAGACCACTTTCACTCTGACAATGATAGGTCTTTTACTGCAAAGGTTGCTCAACAATGAGCCGATAGTCAAGGTATTCAACAGATGTTTCACACCCCTTATCATCCTCAGGCTGCTGCCATTTCTTTATGTGTTGTCTGTGGCTGCTTGTGTTCTACAATGGCAGAGCTGAGTAACTGTGTCAGAGGGTGTGTAGCCTACAAAGCTGAAAATATTACTCTCTGGCCCTTCACAGAAAGGTTACCAACTCCTGCCCTAGATAACAAAGATAACTACCACTTGGTTGAGGATACTGCTCACCAAGTACCCCTACAGTGACCCACACCAGTCAAGCAAGGAAACAAGGTAAGTCTGTGTAAACTTTATAAAAATGCTCTTGTTCCTCTTGCACATGACCTCTGTGAGTAGGGGATTAGAGAAAAGTAAAGCATTTGAAGTGACTGACAATCACTCCTGTTATATAGCAGATCCCCTTTATCCATGGGAAAAACATTCTAAGACTCCCTGTGGACACCTGAAATCATGGATAGTACTGAATCCTAAATCCTATATATACACCCTGCATTTACTATGCAGACATACCTGTGGTAAAGTTTAATATATAAATTAGGCACAGTAAGAGATGAACAACAACAACAATAAAATAGAACAGTTATAACAACATCTACAAGGATTGGGTGGAAAAATAAAAAATACATGTAACAATATGCCAGCATCAGTACTCTTGTGCTCTGGTGCAATTGTTAAGTAATATCAGGGTTATGTGAATGCAGTAGCCCTGCGACAATAGCTCTGATAACCAAGAAGGCTACTAAATGGACAGCATGGATATGCTGAACGAAGGCAGAATTCACATCCTGGGCAGACAGGGCAGGGTGGCATGAGATTTCATCATGCTACTCAAAATGGTGCATAATTTAAAATTTATGAATTGTTTCTTCCTAGAATTTTCCATTTAACATATATATATATTTTTTTACCATGGTTGACTGCAGGTACCTGAAACTGCCGAAACAAAACAGCACATAAGGAGAGACTACTGTATTTTGCTTTATGCAAGATTTCAGGTATATTTCAATATGTTACCTTTTTCCTACAACATGGCTCTCTGCCCCCCACCGCCACCTTTTTCTCTCAGTCTCTTTCATCTTAGCCCTTTAGTATGCTCTTCTCTGAGCTCAGCAGTGCAGAGGCTGTACCATGTGTTTCCCAAAGTAAATGGTTTCCTCTTTCTGCTCCAGTTCCCTCCAGCTGCAATAGCAGGGAGTTGGGACAGAAACAAATCAAATAGTTCTTAAAATTCTGGGAGGACTATTGAATGGCCACAAAGCCCATCCAGAAACCCTGCTGGTCAAACAAATTGATTAAATTTGTCAAATCATGTATTACATTTACTACAGCAAGGGAGATCATCTTGACAGGGTTTTGGTAGCATTTCAATAGAGGAATGTTAGGCAAGAGTATACATAAGTTTCTGGGATATAAACGCCACCAGTTTAAGTGGGTGCTTCTCCCCCCACAGTGGCGAATGGGTAAGGATTAGGCAAAGTTTGTGACTTAGTTTAAAACGGATGGACACAAAAAGCCAGGCTTGATGAGCAATCTGTCCAGATAAACATAATGTTTGTCCTAAAAATCAAAATGTTTGTCCTGATAGCTGTTTATTTAGATAAACTGATTTGCAAAAATTTCCTAGAGCAAAAAGTTAGGTTGACATAAGTGGTGTTGATTCTCAGGCCCCACAGTTGGCACAGGCAGTCTCATTTCTCAAGACAAAATGAAAAGAAGTCAGCTAAAACTTATAATCTTTAAAAGCTGTAAAACAATTGGGGAGACGGGTGGATATCCCAACCAATAATAGTTGCTCTACGTTTTATACTTAAAAGAAACAACCTATTACTATTTGGCCAAATCATCATATGGTGAATTGATCTAACAAATAAAAGAGTTTTGGCAACATGGACTGCTTCTAATGTAAGTGTTACATAAAATTTTGTCCTTGACTTTCTTTTTTTCTCTCTATAGCCCTCTTTTAAACTTAACCATGGCTTCCTATCATCTACAAAGTTATACCCCCAATCTTAGTTTCAATCCTTGATCTCTCTTCATTTTATTTGTGTATTTATGTATTTATTTATTTAGAGATGGAGTCTCACTCTGTTGCCCAGGCTGGAGTGCAGTAGCACCATCTTGGCTCACTCCAAGCTCCGCCTCCTGGGTTCAAGCAATTCTCCTGTCTCAGCCTCCCAAGTAGCTGGGAATACACATGTGCACCACCATGCCCAGTTAATTTTTTTTGTATTTTTGGTAGAGACAGGGTTTCACCATGTTGGCTAGGCTGGTCTCGAACTCCTGACCTCAAGTGATTCACCTGCCTCGGCCTCCCAAAGTGTTGGGATTACAGGCATGAGCCACTGCACCCAGCCTAATCCTTGATCTTTCTTTCAGATTCAAAATTATATTCTAACTGCCTGCTTGATATTTCTACTGGATATTCTGATTCATTTTCCCCGTAAGACACTTCTTCCTCCATAATAGTCTAATCACCATTCTACCTGTCAACGAAGCTAAAACTAAAAGAGTAATTTCTTTTTTTTTTTTTTGGGGGGACGGAGTTTCGCTCTTGTTGCCCAAACTGGAGTGCAATGGTGCAAGCTCGGCTCACCGCAACCTCTGCCTCCCAGGTTCAAGCGATTCTCCCACCTCAGCCTCCCAAGGAGCTGGGATTACAGGCATGCACCACCACGGCCGGCTAATTTTGTATTTTTAGTAGAGACAGGGTTTCTCCATGTTGGTCAGACTAGTCTCGAACTCCCCACCTCAGGTGATCCACCTGCCTCAGCCTTCCAAAGTGCTGGGGTTACAGGCGTGAGCCACGGCCCCCAACTAAAAGAGTAATTTCTAATTCTTCTCTTTCCTCGGTCCCTCTATTCAAAACTATTCATGTCCCAGATCCAAAGGATTCTCTAAAGCAGTGTTAAAGTGCTGGTCAGTGAGGAGATAAGGAGTTTATGCAAGAACATAAACCAAGCCCTGTTTCCTTCATGGAGAAAGCCTCATCAGCTGGACTAAATAATGTGCTTAGTGACACACTTAATTACTAGTCTGGCTCAAGCTTCTTACTTTGTTACAAACCAGAAATAGCTTGCTGACCAACTGCCAGTCTCAGACTGTACCTTGTCCCAGAAGGGTACAAAATTAGGTTCTAAGGGCAAATATGGACCTTTACCTAGGGACCACACTCTAGCATGACAATGAAGATCATGTAGTCATCCCTGTCTTAGCCCCAAGTTCTGAAGAATTTTTCTTAACATTGTTAGTCTGTTTCCTCTTTTTTTCACTAAGCACTGTGTTTTAAAATTCTATCCAAATGAATCTACTCTTTGCTTTTCTTTCATTTATTTATCTATTTATTTATTTATTTTGAGACCAGGTTATGAGATTGGCTAACTTTTTATTTTTGGTAGAGACATGGTTTTGCCATGTTGCCTAGACTGGTCTCCAACTCCTGGCCTCAAGCAATCCACCCTCCTCAGGGTCCCAAAATGTTGGGATTACAGGTGTGAGCCACCATGCCTGGCCTACCCTTTGCTTTTCTAACAGCTGCATAATATTCCATGGTAACTCTCCCATTCCAGCTCCATGCCACCAGAAATAATTCTGCAAAGAACATCTTCATGTGTCTCCTGGTTTGGGCTCTTCACCTCTTAAGATTTTGTAACAGTCTTCTAAGTGTCTCCCTATTTCCAACTTCTGCCTAATTCAAATCTCTCTCTGCTCACAGTACAGTTCTAAAACCTTTGATAGCTCCCCATGACTGAAAGAGGAAATGCTCTTACTTCATCCTGGTCCCTAAGATTCTATTCCCAATGACCTGGCTTTATGTCTCACTACTGTGCTATTCATATTGTATCTTCCATTCACATTGGAGCGCTACTTTCTGGTCTTCTCTCATATTTCTACCTTTCCTGCCTGTCAAACCTTTACTCTTTTTATTTCACTCTCTACGATACATTTCCTCCCATTTGCAACCGTCAGATACTACCAATGTTCAAAAATAACCCCCTTGACAAAGCTTTCTCCTATTCTTTTCCTTATTAGAAATTTCAAAAGTTTGTTACTCTCCCGCTTGTGATATTATTCTACATATATTATAGTTATTTATTTTATTTTTTTGAGACAGTCTCGCTCTGTCGCCTAGCAGCCTAGGCGTGCAGTGGCGCGATCTCAGCTCACTGCAACCTCTGCCTCCTGGGTTGAGGCGATTCTCCTGCCTCAGCCTCCAGAGTAGCTGGGACTACCGGCGCCACTACTACTCCTGGCTAATTTTTGTATTTTTAGTACATGCCGCGGTTTTGCCGTGCTGGCTAGGCTGGTCTCCAACTCTCCTGATCTCAAGTGCCTCGGCCTCCCAAAGTGCTGGGATTACAGGCGTGAACCACCGTGCCCAGATAATTTTTGTATCTTTAGTAGAGGCGGGGTTTCGCCACGTTGCCCAGGCTGGTCTCGAACTCCTGAGCTCAAGCAGTTCTCCCACCTCGGCCTCCCAAGTTTAATGTAAAATATCAGATGCCATTGTTTCAGAAAGCCTTCAGTAGATTAAGGAGATTGTTCTCCTTATCCTTAAGATGTCTATTTTTTACATGGCAATATTAACGGACTGAAAGCTCCTGGAGAGACGCAATTGCCCTTGTAACTTCCATTTCCGTACAATTTCTGGTAGGAAATAATAATAACAATAACACTTAGTGGTGTTTATTATTTGCTGGGCATCCTTATAAGGGTTTTACATGTTTTAAATTTATCCCTCAGGACAACTCCATGTGATGGGTGCTATTATCACAAAAATTTTATAGATAAAGAACCTAGGCACAGGGAGAGGTTACGTTACCGGTCCATGGTCACGTGGCTGGTGAATGGCAGAGCCGGGGGCTGAACCCAGCAATCTCAGCCAGGGATCCGTGGTCTTAACCACTTTGTTACCTTTATCCCAGGGTCTGTCAATGTTTATTCCAGTTACAGGGGTGGAATTCTGCTAGAAGCTTTTGAGAACCTCATCTAGCGTTGTGTTTTTTTCTACCAAGGCTTTTAGCTGCTAAGAGAGAGGCCACTGCCAGTAACAGCCGGGGCGCCGAGCTGTCAAGGCTGACGGAGGAATGGACGCTCATCGCGCAGCGGAGTGTTGGAGGGGCAAGCCCGCCAAGAGACCCACTTTGCACAACTGTCCTCAGCCAGGAAACGACAGATCAGGAACCCAGGGACAGAAACACACGCGGGGCCTCTTCAGAGGTCGGCGGGGGGGGTGGGAAAGGGGCGGGGAGGAAGAGCAGCGCAGGGCCTGGCCGTTTGGAGGAGGTGCTGGGGCGGCGCGAAGGGAGGCGGGACAGGGTAGACTCACAGATCCAGGAGCTGACTGACCCGCCGTGGGCGAGGCATCGCTGCAGCGTCTGAAGCCTCTTCCGCGGTCCCAGGGCCTCCAGAACCCAGCCAGGGACCGTCCGCCAACTCCCGCCCACCGCGCGACGCGTAGGTTTTTGTGACGTCACACGGATTTTTCCGGTGACCGGGGCGTGGCCACGCTTCGGACTCCACAAGGAAAGAAGAGAGCCCCCTTTGGGGCGGAGCCACTGAGGGCTGCGCGGAAGAGGCTGGGTGTGATAAACTATAAAGAGGCCCTAAACTCGGATGCAACGTGACGGGAGTTGTAGTTCTTTCACCTGGCGGGCGTCTGCTCCGGTTCAGCTGCAGGAGGTTTCTTGGGAGTTCAGCCCAGCGCGCAGCCCCGCCGCGACGCCGCGAGCCGAGAACTCTCCTGGGGCGAAGGGAGCGCTGAGAAGTCGCTACTCTTACTAAAAGGATGCGTTGGATGCTGGGCCATACCCTTGGCGATGCACACTGGAGACCCGCTCGGATACGGACTCCATTAACATCAAACGGAGCGTGTTAGAGGATCCGAGTTTACTGAGCACTTTCTAGGAAGCGTGCACTGAGCTACGTGCTTTCTAGGCCTTAGTTCAATACTTAACCATATTCATTATAATCCGGTGAAATCGTAATTATTTAGCCTTATTTTACAGATGAGGACACTGCGTACCAACAAGTAACCTCACTAAGAATTTCGTCATGGAGGAGAAGGGAACCTGTATTCAAATTAGGAAGGATCCTGAAGAAAGGGCACCTTTAGGTGGAATTTTATCTTTGGTTCTGCTGCAGAGTACTTGCTGCTTTTTAGTGCTCCCTCCACCCCCCTCATTCTTCCTTGTAGATTAGTCTGTTGTTTGTATGCTGAGTTCCTTTTTTAAGCTCCTTGAAAGTTGGAACCCACTGCTGTTGCCTGTTCAGGATGCTACACATTGAATCAACATGGATTTATTAAGCGCTGAACGAGGGCTAGGGATCGTGCTGGGTGCTGAGGATTGAGTGGCGAACACTTGGGTCAGACAAGTAAAAGGGCAATTAGAATAACTGTTAAATGCTTAGATGGGGTTAGTTCTATGGAAGCACCCATGGGGGTGGGATACAGATCAGAGAGAAAAGGGTGGTCTGCAAATAGTTTGGGATGGCTACACTGGAGAGTGATCAAGAGTGAGTGTAGGGCAGGGGTTGGCCGACTTTTTCCATAAAGTGCTCTGAAAGTTGCAGATTCCAGGAGAAGTAACTATTGTCAGACCCAGACAAATTGGAGCCTAGAGACCAGAAAGGAAGGAAACTCATGCTTGTATGTCTGAGATAAGAACTGTCTCAAGGCCAGACGCGGTGGCTCACACCTGTAATCCTAGTACTTTGGGAGGCCGAGGCGGGCGGATCACGAGGTCAGGAGTTTGAGACCAGCCTGGCCAACGTGGTGAAATTCCCGTCTCTACTAAAAATACAAAAAAAAAAAAAAAAAACTGGGTGTGGTGGCGGGCGCCTGTAATCCCAGCTACTGAGGAGGCTGAGGCAGGAGAATCGCTTGAACTCGGAGGAGGTTATAGTGAGCCGAGATCGTGCCACTGCACTCCAGCCTGGGCGACAGAGCAAGACTCCGTCTCAAAAAAAAAAAAAAAGAAAGAACGAACTGCCTCAAGGACTTTAAAAAATAAACCAAAAAACCCACAATTTCTTCACATCTTTCATGCATTTAATGTTTTGCACAACTTGCTTGTTTTGCAAATATGCGCACATTTCTATGACAAGATTTATTGCTAAATATTCTTTAAAACTGCAGCAGTTCAGATAAGATACTGTCGAAAGGACGTTTGGCCCAGCAGCAGGACCTCCACCAATGAACGGACTCCAATTCTTGATTTGAGCCTTGGGAACCAATCAACTTAGTTTCCAAGAGTTTATGTGAACTTCCCTCCTTTACCAGTAAAATCTTCCCCCTATTCTTCCCTTCTCCAGACCCGTGGCTTGCCATAGCTGTACATCTTGGATTATAATTCTTTTTGTTCACTCCCAAAGAAACTCAGTATCTTTGGAGAATTCTTTCTTTGTTGTCTTTTAGCTTCCCAGAGCCAAACAAGAAATATTTTAGGTTTTGTGGGTCATGCTGGCTTGGTCACAGCTATTCAACTTGTATCTTAAAATTAGCCATAGACAGTATGAATGGGTGGGTCTCTGTTCCAATAAAACCTTATCCTAAACACTGAAGTTTGAATTTTATGTAATTTTCAACTGTCATGAAATACTCATCTTTTGATCTTTTTCAGCCACTGAAAAATGTAAAAGCCATCCTTAAGTTGCAAGCTATACAAAAACAGACAGTGGACTGGATTTGACCCTTGAGCCATTTGTCCATGTGCCCTCACCTGATCTAGAAAGCTAAAATGCACATGCCTCACGCCTGTAATCCCAGCACTTTGGGAGGCCAAGGTGGGCGGATCAGCTGAGGTTAGGAGTTCGAGACCAGCCTGGGCAATATGGAGAAACTCTACTAAAAGTACAAAAAAATTAGCTGGGCGTGGTGGCAGGTGCCTGTAATCCCAGCTACTCAGGAGGCTGAGGCAGGAGAATTGCTTGAACCCAGGAGGCGGAGGTTGCACTGAGCCGAGATCACACCACTGTACTCCAGCCTGGGCAACAAGAGTGAGACTCTACCTCAAAAAAAACAAAGAAATTACGAATTTTAAGATGGTGATAGCAGAGCACTAAACCCAGAGTGGGGCCCGTGTGACTGCACATTTTGCCCACCCATGAAGCCAGCCCTGGGTGCGTCCAACTTCAGGATTCCCCCCCCCAAAAATCAGTTCAGGAACCCTATGTCAAAATAAAAATCAAAGACAAATATGAGCACAGAGAGACATTTTTACTTGCAGTTCAAGAAAATCAGACTTTCAGAGAGTGGCTCGCTAAATAGAATAGAGGAATTTATAGCTCAGATGAAATGGCAGATATTTATAGCTCAGATATGGCAGTTCATTCCAATTGGATAAGAACAAGATGTTCCTGTTTTGTGGTAAGGAAAACAGGATGTTCTTGTTTTTGTGGCTTATCTCTGGAGGCAAAGCTTTTAGGATTTCCCGTTAGTCAAGGCTTTTAGGAGGTTCCCGCTATTCATGGTTTATCTTTGAATGCAAAGTTATTGGGAATGAAAGTCTTTTCTAGTGTATGGTAAGTGATTTGTAGGCAGGGTTAGGCTAAGGGCAAGATATTTTCCTTTTCTCCTCTCTGTTTGCTGTGCCCACTTTAATATAGTTTCCTCTAGCTCAGAATCTCCTCCACTTCCTACCATAGCTACCATACAAAGTAAACGTTATCATAGATTGTTGCTGTGGGTTTGTTTTACTTTACTCCAGGCTGGAGTGCAGTGGCGCAATCTCGGCTCACTGCAACCTCTGCCTCTCGGATTCAAGCAATTCTCCCGCCTCAGCCTCCCAAGTAGCTGGGATTACAGGCATGTGCCACCATGCCAGGCTAATTTTTTTTTTTTTGTATTTTTAGTAGAGACGAGGTTTCACCATATTGGCTAGGCTGGTGTCGAACTCCTGACCTTGTGATCCACCTACCTCGACCTCCCAAAGTGCTGGGATTACAGGCGTGAGCCACCGTACCCGGCCTCTGGGTTTGTTTTATAAAAATAATTAACAAAATTACTTTTCTTAAATCATGCTGTTAATTCATAATGTAATATATGAGCTGTATGTGGACCCATGTTTTAAAATACAATAAATATATATAAAACAAGTATATCTTATTTATATGAATGTGTGCTTTCACAAGAACAGAACGGAGCTAAGCCAAGTGAGCCCCTACTTTATTATCCTACCATGTGTAGGTTATTTTCAAATAGGATTGCTCTTAACTCTCCAAGTGTCCTTTGAGAAAATAACACGTCTTTTTATTTAGTTTCTTTTCATAGCTTGTTTTATAATATCACACTCCAAATTGGAAATAACAGTGCCCATGCTCATGGATTGTTATACATTGTTGAAATTTCCCATTGGCTAGAAACACTTGCTTTGTTTCTAGGTTAGAGATCTGTGACTTTCAAATTCTCAGGAGTCTGAGTCATACAATGGATGACTCAGGATCCAAGCAGGTTAAGAGTTGGGCAAGTTCAAACAGGAGAAGCAAGGAGATGTTAATAAAGGAGCTGTTCCCAAAGGTGTGGACAGAGTTAGGGCAGAGCAAGGGTAAAGGTAGTTCAATACCATAGCGCTACAATAGCAGGAAGACCTTACCTCTTCTGGTCCTGGAGGGCAAAACCAAAACCTTGCCAGAGTGACCACAGGTGAAGCCACCTGAAAGGAACTGTGGCCTTTGAATTTGTAACCGCCTAAGGGGTTCACCTTGCCCCCTGCCTAGAAAGAACTGATTCATCAAGACGGGGGAATTACAATAGAGAAAGAGTAATTCACACAGAGCCAGCTGTGCGGGAGACAGTTTTATTATTACTCAAATCAGTCTCCCCAAGCATTTGGGGAGCAGAGTTTTTTTTTGTTTGTGTTTTTTTTTCAGAGTCTTGCTCTGTCACCCAGGCTGGAGTGCAGTGGCGCTGTCTTGGCTCACTGCAACCTCTGCCTCCTGGGTTCAAGTGATTCTCCTGCCTCAGCCTACCAAGTAGCTGAGATTACAGGCATGTGCCACCACGCCCGGCTAATTTTGTATTTTTAATAGAGACGGGGTTTCACTATGTTGGTCAGGCTGGTCTCGAACTCCTGACCTCGGGTGATCCACCCACCTCAACCTCCAAAAGTGCTGGGATTACAGGTGCGAGTCACCACGCCCAGCCAGGAGCAGAATCTTTAAGGATAAATTGGTGGGTTGGGGGAAGCCAGTGACCCGGGAGTGCTGATTGGTCAGGACGGAAATGAAATCATAGGGAGTTGAAGCTGTCTTCTTGTGCTGAGTCACTTCCTGGGTGGGAGCCACAAGATCAGATTAGCCAGTTTATCCATCTGGGTGGTGCCAGCTGATCCGGCAATTGCAGGGTCTGGAAAATATCTCAAGCACTGAGATATTTGAAGAAAATCTTGAAGCCTCTAGTTGCATGACTCTTAAACCATAATTTCTAATCTTGTAGCTAATGTTAGTCCTACAAAGGGAATCTAGTCCCCAGGCAAGAAGGAGGTGTGCTTTGGGAAAGGGCTGTTATCATCTTTGTTTTAAACTATAAGTTTCTCTCAAAGTTAGTTCAGCCTATGCTGAACGAACAAGGAGGTTAGAAGCAAGATGGAGTCGGTTAAGTTAAAACTCTTTCACCGTCTCAGTGATAATTTTGCAAAGGCGGTTTCAGTTTGATAAGGCAACCTAGCCAGCCTGTTGTGATCCAGCCAGGAAGGGGCTACAGGAATACCCTTCAAGCTCCATTCTTCATCCCCTTTTTGATGTCCTGCTGTCGGCTGTCATTGCTTCAGCCAACCAGAAGTTAGAGCTCAAAGCATCCCCGTTTATGCGATCAATAAAAGTCAGCTTCTCAGAGCCTAGAGTAGAGAAGGAGAGAAATTAGAAAATAAGTAACTCATCAACAGATTACTGATTTTTTTGGTAAAGGGATTAAATATCAAAAACATTTTGAAAATTAATAAGAATAGCTTCATCTGAGCCAAAATAATAATTATTATAGTTTCCTTTTTTTCTTTTTTTTTTGAGACAGTCTCACACTCTCGCCCAGGCTAGAGTGCAGTGGTGTGATCTTGGCTCACTGCAATCTCCGCCTCCTGGGTTCATGTGATTCTCCTGCCTCAGCCTCCCAAGTAGCTGGGATTATAGGAGCCCACCACCAAGCCCAGCTAATTTTTTTTGTATTTTTGGTAGAGATGGGGTTTCACCATGTTGGCCAGGCTGGTCTTCAACTCCTGACCTCAGGTGATCCTCCCGCCTCAGCCTCCCAAAGTGCTGGGATTACAGGCGCGAGCCACTGTGCCCAGCCTATTATAGTTTCATAACAGTGAGAGGGATGACAATTGTGGTCTTTCACTAAGATGCTGGGAGCCAGCGCAATGACAGCTTAAACCACCATCTTTTTTTGATTAGCTTCACTTGTTATTTTTATTTTTAGAAAGTTATGTAATTCCTAACTCACAATTACTGGTTATTGCAATGGAATCAAATGCCTGGTATTTCTGTCAGATAATCAGACTTTCAAACCCCATTACTTACATTCATTCAAACAAATATTTAATACCTGTTATATACCAGGTGGGATGTATCAGTACATGAATATGTCCTCTAGGAGCTTACACTCTAGTGTGAGAGATAGAAAAGCACACAAACAAAACAGCATATGGAGATACGAACTATAAAGAACAAGATGGGGAGGACGGATTGAGAGAAAGAGAGAGATTTATTTTTGCTCAGGTGGTCATGGAAGGCTTCTCTGACGCTGTGACACTTCTGCTGAGATCTGAGGATTAAAAAGGAGGCAGCTATGCAGAGATTTAGAGACAGAGGGAAAAGAAAGGCACTGAAGTAAAAATGTGCTTGATAGCATTTGAAGGACAGAAGGAGGTCAGTGTGGCTGAATGGAGCAGGGAGTAGGAGGAAATGGGATTGGCTGAGCCTGGGCCCAAATCAGGTAAAACCTTGACGATCAAAAAACTGTCTTTGGGCCAGGCCTGGTGTCTCACGCCTGTAATCCCAGCACGTTGGGAGGCTGAGGCAGGTGGATCACTTGAGGTCAGGAGTTTGAGACCAGCCTGGCCAACATGGCGAAACCCCATCTCTACTAAAAATACAAAATGTAGCCTGGCATGTGGTGGCAGGTGCCTGTAATCCCAGCCACTCGGAAGGCTGAGACACAAGAATCTCTTCAACCTCAGAGGCAGAGGTTGTAGTAAGCCAAGATGGCACCACTGCACTCCAGCCTGAGTGACAGAGCCAGACTCTGTCTCAAAAAAAAAAAAAAAAAAAAAAAACAGCTGGGTGCAGTGACTGATGCCTGTAATCCCAGCACTTTGGGAGGCTGAGGTAGGCAGATCACTTGAGGTCAGGAGTTCGAGACCAGCCTGACCAACATGGTGAAACCCTGTCTCTACTAAAAATACAAAAATTAGCCGGGTGTGGTGGCGTGCACATGAAGTCCCAGCTACTTGGGAGGCTGAGGCAGGGGAATTGCTTGAACCCGGGAGGTGGAGGTTACAGTGAGCCAAGATTGTGCCACTGCACTCCAGCCTGGGTGACAGAGTGAGACTCCGTCTCAAAAAAAAAGAAGCCAGGCGCGGTGGCTCACACCTGTAATCCCAGCACTTTGGGAGGCCGAGGTGGGCGGATCATGAGGTCAGGAGATGGAGACCATCCTGGCTAACAGAGTGAAACCCCATCTCTACTAAAAATACAAAAAATTAGCCAGGTTTGGTGGCGGGCACCTGTAGTCCCAGCTACTTGGGAGGCTGAGGCAGGAGAATGGCATGAACCTGGGAGGCAGAGGTTGCAGTGAGCCGAGATCGTGCCACTGCACTCCAGCCCAGGCAACAGAGCCAGACTCCATCTTAAAAAAAAAAAAAAAAAAAAAAAGACAAAAAAAACCCCCAAACAAACTGTCTGATTCAGGCATGGTGGCTCATGCTTGTAGTCATAGCTGAGGTGGGAGGATCCCTGGAGCCCAGGAGTTTGAGGTTGCTGTGAGTTATGATCATGCCACTGCACTGTAGCCTAGACAACAGAGTGAGTGAGGCCCTCTTTTTCTTTTTTTCTTCCTGAAGTCTTTGACAGAGCAGAGAAAGACCTTATCTCTAAAAAAACATAGCAACAAAAAAACCCAAACTAACTTTGATGCATCAGGGCTGTGAAGAAGCAACACACACACACAGACACACACACTCACTTGCACACCTGACTTTGAATCTTATTCAAAATGAAATGACAGTATTGAAGTTTTAAAGAAGGGGAATGATACCCGTGCAACACAGGTGAGCCCCAAAATTGGGGCTTAGCCTGGGGAAGTCCTTGGCTTTACCCAGGAAATAATTCAAGGGTGAGCTGATAGTAGAAAACAGGTTTGTTTGTTTGTTTGTTTGTTTTTGAGACATGGTCTCGCTCTGTCACACAGGCTGGAGTACAGTGGCATGATCTCAGCTCACTGCAGCCTCCACCTCCTGGGTTCAAGAAATTCTCGTGCCTCAGCCTCCCAATAAGCTGGGATTATAGGTGCTCCCCACCACGCCTGGATATTTTTTGTATTTTTAGTAGAGATGGGGTTTCACCATGTTGTCCAGGCCAGTCTCGAACTCCTGACCTCAGCTGATTCTCCCACCTTGGCCTCCCAAAATGCTGGGATTACGGTGTGAGCCACCATGCCCAGCCAGAAAACAGCTTTTCTGATGTGGCAGTGTGACAGCTCCATGACTGCTCCTGCAGAGCGGAGCTACCCCATAGGCAGTGTATTGAGAGGAGCAGCTCAGAGGCAGTTCTCTAATCATGTTTATACCCACTTCTAATTACATGCAAATCAAGGGGCAGGTAATTCAGAAATTTCTAGAAAAGGGGTGGTAATTTCCAGGTCATTGCCAGAGAGAGTGGTGCTAACTTCTAGGTGTTGCCACAGCAATGGTAAACTGTCGCGTCACTGGTAGGAGTGTCTTATGAAGAAGTGCTTTCCATGCTTCTCTGTTTCAGCCAGTCTTCAATCTGGTCTGGAGTTGAGTCCCACCTCCTACCTCAATACCATTTGGGCGGCAGTGTGAAGAATGGAGGGGGCTTTGGGGAGTGAATTGCAGCATGTTTTGAATAGGTTAGAGCCTGGTGGTGGCTTCCCCGAAGGCTATGCCTCTCCTTAATCCCCTCTAGAATCTTTAGCTTCCTCACAAGGTGGGAAGCCCTTCAGGGACCGAGAAGGAGGTGATGGTGGTGGCAAGCAGCATTGCATCTGCAGGACCTTTGGGCCTGGATCTGTTGCCTTCAATCTTGCATTGCTGTGATGACAGTGATAACACTTGATATCTTAGTATCACAGGCTCTTGAATCTCAGAACCACGGAGGCTGTGTCACTAAGAGCTTGGTCTCTGACTACAGCTTCTGAATCCTTATTTTGGCCTAAAATGAATCACTTGACTCCTTAGTAATTCTATTTTTTCACCTGTAATATGGGGATAGTAATATAAAGCCTATTCAAAGTGCATGAGGACAGGCAATTCTCAGAATTCAAAATTTTCAAGATTTTAGAAAGCTATTATGGTACATATGACTGGATATTATGAGACACCCCATTTTGAGTTGGGTTTTCAGCCACATGTATTCTTCCTAAAAATCTGTTACATCACCCTCTTTTACCTTTCTCTTAGCAGTTAACACTCTGTAATATCTTAATTTGTTTGTTTGTTGCTTGTCTCCATCAATTAGAATGTAAGTTCCTTGAAATCAGGGACTTTTCTTTTGTTTGCCACTGTGCCTGAAACACTTTAAACAGTACATGATACCTAGTGAATAACCAATAATTACTAATTGAAAATGAATGAATGAACAAAGCTTTGATTTGTCTCTTTCCAATCTCTACCTCCTTGCCTCTAATCCTTCAATGAGTTTCTGGGCTCAGTCTTCAAAATGTACTCAAATTTGACCACTGCTGAACATCTGTGGGGCTGTCAACTGAGTGCACGCCCAGGCTGAAAGTGTTGTCTGACTCTCCTGTTCACCTGGTAAACTCCTCACTCCTCTTCCCATTTGTTCATTGATTCCACATTTATCGAGGTACACGCAGGGTGCTAGGCGTGAACTCACAGTCTGGTGGGGGAGGTAGGAGAGGAACACTGATAGAGATCATTACTGCATAAGAAATGGGGAAGCAGTGGCTCACGCCTGTAATCCCAGCACTTTGGGAGACCAAGGGGGGTGAATCATTTGAGCTCAGAAGTTCCAGACCAGCCTGGCCAACATGGAGAAACCCCATCTCTACTAAAAATACAAAAATTAGCTGGGTGTGGTGGTATGCGCCTGTAATCCCAGCTACTTGGGAGGCTGAGGCAGGAGAATTGCTGGAACCCTGGAGGTGGAGGTTGCAGTGAGCCGAGATCGTGCCATTGCACTCTAGCCTGGACGATAGAACGAGACTCTGTCTCAAAAATAAATAAATAAATAAGGAAAAAAAAGAAATGGGGAATGCAGAGGTGGGTGTGGTGGTCTGGGCAGGTGAAGACCTGCAGCCCTCACTCCAATTGCACAGAAGACTAGGCCAGAGACAAGGAGTCACTCCTCTCTGCTCTGTGCTGGGGTGGAGATGGGGGTTGGGATTAGGGTGGTGGGGGGTTCTTTTGTGTATATGAGGAGAAGCCAGGCAAACCCTTGCATCTGTTCTTCCCCTCAAATGATATTTTAAAAAACAAACAAGCCCAGTCCAGAGTGAGTACACCTTGTCCTGCCTCTTTTCTCATGTGTTTAGGTGGGAGTGACCTTCTGGCCCCATTTGACAGTAGAGAACCTGAGATTAGGCAAGGAGAAGCCATTTCCCCAGGCTTGCCACAAACTAAGGCCGCAAACAGACTGTGTACCATTCGCTCAGGAGCAATTCGTATTGCAGCTCATGAGCACCCAGTCCAGAGCCACCTCCAGAACAGGAGCTCAACCCTCTTTTTGAGAGCTTCTCTGAGGGGCCCTCCTATTAAAAATGGGGAAACTGAGGCCCGGAGAAAGGAAGTGACTTGCAAGGAGTAACAGAGCAGTCAGAGAGACCTGCCCCAGGAGTTCTAATTCTAATCACCATAACAGCTATTATTTATTGAGCCCTTCCTGTGTGCTGAATCTTGTTCCAAGCCTTTACAAATAGTGTCTTGTTCCATCCCCCAGTGATTCTATGGCTATATACTAAAAGCCCACAGTCCTTTATCTGCAATTTGGAAGCCCAAAAAACTCTGAAGCCAAAAGGATTTTCCTGTATTTGCTGCCCAGACTCTTCTGTGTGAAGAGTGGATAAATGTGGAATCAATTAATGAATGGGAAGAGGAGTGAGGAGTTGAACAGGTGAACAGGAGAGTGAAGCTATTTAAATTATATATTTTTTTGGTTTGTTTGTTTAATTGTTTGTTTCTTTGTTGAGATGGAGTCTTGCTCTGTCACCCAGGCTGGAGTGCAGTGGCACGATCTCGGCTCACTGCAACCTTCGCCTCCCGGGTTCAAGTGATTCTCCTGCCTCAGCCTCCCGAGTAGCTGGGATTATAGGCGCCCACCATCATGCCCAGCTAATTTTTGTATTTTTAGTAGAGACGGGGTTTCACCATGTTGGCCAGGCTGGTCTCGAATTCCTGATCTCAGGTGATCCGCCCACCCCGGCCTCCCAAAGTGCTGGGATTACAGGCGTGAGCCACCACGCCCAGCCTATTTATATTTTTTAATAATAATTTTTATTGATAAATTTTAAAAATTAGGGGGAAAAGGTGTGAATAGCCATACCCTTATTAGCGTTTCATTGTTTTGTAACAATACACATTTACCAAGTAGCAGGAGTCTGAGCATGGCTTGACTGGGTCCTCTGCTTATGGTCTCAAAAGGCTACAATCGAGCTGTCATCAGGGACTGCAGTCTCACCTGGGTTCAGATGGGGAAGGACTCACTTCCAAGTTCACTCATGTTAATGGCAGAATTCAGTTCCTTGAGGTCGTAGGACTGAGAGCTTCAAGTTTTTTGTTGGCTGTTGGCTGGAGGCTGCCCTCAGCTCTGAGAGGCTGCCTGTATTTCTTGCCATGCAGAGTCCTCTAACATGGCCATCTGCGCCCTCAAAGCTAAACTGGGGGAGGGGGAGAAAGATGGGTGCTACCATCTTATGTAACATGACCCCAATCATGTACACACAATCACATACATCCCATCATCTTTACTGTTTCTTTCAGTTAGAAGCGAGCCACAGATCCTGCCCACACTAAGGGGAAAGGATCACATAAGGGGAGGCAAGGATCGTGGGGCCAACTAAGAGTCTTTCCACCACAAACCACAAAGCCTTCCACTGCAAATATTATTGTGTTTGGTTATGTCCTAGAAAAAAATAAGGTTTTAATCTCACATGAAAAGTCAGAATGCCAGACTGGGCAATATGGGAAAACCTCATCTCTTCCAAATATATATATATATATATCCAGCTGTGGTGGCACATGCCTGTAGTCCCAGCTACTTAGGACGCTGAGGTGAGTGGATCGCTTGAGCCTGGGGGGGGTCAAAGCTGCAATGAGCCAAGACTGTGCCACTGCACTCCAGTGGACAACAGAGTGAGACACTGTCTCAAAAAAAAAAAAAAAAAAAAAAAGAGAGAGAAAAGGAAGGAAGGAGAAGGAAGAGAGGAAGAGAGGAAGCGGGGGAGGGAGGGAGGTCAGAATAAGAGGAGGGAGGTCAGAATAGGATAGTTCCAGGGTTGGTTGTTCAGTGGCTTAATGACATTATAATTCCTGCTCAGAACCTCTGTGATTCCCTTGAGTTTTCCTCTCATGCTTTCAAGATGGCTCTGCAGGTCCAAGCAATACATCCTTGCACTGAGGATGCAAGTTAGGAAAATTCTAGTTCATTGCTTTACTTTGAGCCTCTTATTTGACTTATTCCATTTTACTTGTGAAATACGCATGTGACAGCTGGAATTGGCATTAGACATGTTAGACAGAAAGTAAAATTGAGTATATTTCTGATTCTCAAGCATTTGTTTTTGCCACTGTTTAAGAAATAAGCAATGCATTGTCACATACTAAGCACTCAGTTGTTTGTTGAATGAAATATAACACTGTAGGGTAGGGTAGGAGAACACTAAAGTTCCTGGAGGCAGGTAACATGTACTTGTATTTTTCTCACATCTCTCTTGTTAAGAACACAAAATCTTTGCCTAGAAGAACTCACAGCAGCATCCTCAGTACTATGGCACTTGCTATGATTAAACCAATCATTACCAAGGGAAATGAGATATGACTTAGATCAATCATAATTCATCCCTCAGGATGGGCATGAGTCTGAATACCCCTATAGCACATGGCCATCTGATACCTGAACAAAATCAGGATTCTGTTAAAAAAGAAGAGGAAGGGAGAAGGAATGACTATAAACAACAAGCACCATCCTCCACAGATTCAAGGAAGAATTAAAAGGGGTAGTAAGGTGGTCTCTCTAGAGAGGCAATGTTTTACTTGAGATTTGCCAAGAAATTGTCAGACTTGTGAAATCTGCGGACTAGCAATCCGTGGGGTGGGTAAGGAAGAGCAAATATACTGCTTAGAGGTACAGAGTTTCTTTTTGGGGTGATGAAAATGTTCTAAAATTGATTGTGGTGATAATTGTACAATTCTGTGAATATACTAAAAATATATACTTTAAATGGGTGAATTGTATGGTATATGAATCATACCTTAATAAAGCTGCTATTTAAAAAAAGAATAGTAATGTAATACCTTGAGACAAGACAAGCTTGATATGAATTATAAGAATGGTTTGACTGGGTCAGATTCAGTGAAAAATTTTCATAATAGACCTTTAATTATTGTTAATCTGCTAAAAAACAGTATGGAACTTAAGTACCGAGCTTCTAATGGAAGATAGAGAAATACCCTATATTTTCAGGTGGGATATTTCCTATCGGTGTTTTTTTCCCAGGAATGCAGTTTTCCTAGGCTTCAAGCTGCTCAGAATATGTGGCCTTCAATAGACCTGCAGCCAGGATTAGGTGGGACTTTGCCTCATCTGAAGGGCTTCTTCTTATTTTATTTATCGTAATTTTTTGTAGAGATAGGATCTTAATATATTGCCCAGGCTGGTCTTGAAATCCTGGACTCAAGTGATTCTCCTGCCTCAGCCTCCCAAAGTGTTGGGATTACAGGTGTGAGCCACCGCACCCGACTTACAGGGCTTCTTCTATACTTACTAATTCTCCTAATGTGTGACATCTGGTCTACTACTTAAATTGGTGCTTTTCCATTGGATATAAGCCTTAGCAATAGATATTACCTAATTTTCTCTTACCTTTTTATGGGTGGGGTTATTTTCATTATAATTTTTTTTTCCTGGGTTTGCACAACTGCCAGAAAACATTTTATCAGAGCTAGGTTATGAACATTGCAGGTGGGCCTTTCAACTTCCTGCAGAAGTGCAGAGGTGCAACTGAGCATTCACTAAGAACTGGCACTTGTCCAAACTGTGCAAAAGAGGGAGTGCAAGTCTGTCTCACACACGTAATTGAGGAAGGAAAAGAAGGCCAGTGTTGCTGAAGCTTAGGGAAGGAGATAAAGACAGAGAGGTAGGCAGGGACTAGATCACATAGTGCCTTGAGAATCATAGAGATTTGGTTACAGCTAAGTGCAATTGGGAGAATGTTGGAGGGTTGCTCTGAACAAGGACATGACAGGATCTGATATGCATTTTTAATAGATTAATTTTGGGGAAAATATATGTAACACAAGTAACTGAAGAGGATGTGTATCTAGATTTTAAAAGGTACTGCAAATCAATATGATGAAAACACACACACACACACAATTGGAAAATCAGCAAAATACTTAAGCAGGCACTTCCCCACAGAGGAAATCTAAATGGTCAAAAGCATATGAAAAATGTTCTGTCTTGTTAATCAACCAGGGAAATACATGTTCGAACTTCCACATGTTGGCCGGGCGCAGTGGCTCACGCCTGTAATCCCAGCACTTTGAGAGGCGGAGGTGGGCGGATCATGAGGTCAAGAGATTGAGACAATCTTGGCCAACATGGTGAAACCCCGCTTCTACTACAAATACAAAAATTAGCCGGGCGTGGTGGCACGCACCTGTAGTCCCAGCTACTTGGGAGGCTGAGGCAAGAAAATTGCTTTAACTTGGGAGGTGGAGGTTGCAGTGTGCCGAGATCGCGCCACTGCACTCCAGCCTGGTGACCTAGCAAGACTCTGCCTCAAAAAAACAAAACAAAAAACGAACTTCCACATGTTAAAACTTGTACAAGGCCGGGCATGGTGGCTCATGCCAGTAATCCCAGCACTTTGGAAGGCCGAGGCTGGCAGATTACGAGGTCAGGAGATTGAGACCATCCTGGCCAACATGGTGAAACTCCATCTCTACTAAAATACAAAATATTAGCTGGGTGTGGTGGCACATGCCTGTAGTCCCAGCTACTCAGGAGGCTGAGGCAGGAGAATCGCCTGAACCCAGGAGGCGGAGGTTGCAGTGGGCCAAGATTGCGCCACTGTACTCCAGCCTGGCAACAGAGCAAGGCTCTGTCTAAAAAAAAAAACAACAACAACAAAACAAGCAACAACAACAAAAAAACTTGTACAAAAGCCAGAGGCAGTAACAGGAGCCTGTAGTCCCAACTACTTTAGAGGCTGAGGCAGGAGGATCACTTAAGCCCAGGAGTTTGAGGTTGTTATATATAAAGGTTCGGTGCCGCAAAAGAAATAGCACTCGAATATAAAATTTTCTTTTTAATTCTCAGCAAGGCAAGGTACTTCAATAGAAGGGTGTGCCCTTACAGATGGAGCAATGGTGAGCGCACACTTGGATAAGGGAGGGGAAGGGGTTCTTATCCCTGACACACGTGGCCCCTGCTGCTGTGTGGTTCCCCTATTGGCTAGGGTTAGACCTCACAGGCTAAACTAATTCCAATTGGCTAATTTAAAGAGAATGACAGGGTGTGTGCTTTGGCAGGAGTCAGGGCAGGGCAGGTAGCAGGTAATCAGAATGAGTTAGGGTGGAGTAGGTGACCAGAATGAGTCAGAGTGGAGTAGGTAATCGAAAAAGGTAGCTTTACGAGGAAGTTAAGTTTAAAAGTAGAAGGCAAATAATTGAACATACTGACATTAATTCTTTGAAAAGAAATTTAGAACTCATATCTAACAAGGCTATGGTGCAGTATGATTATGCCTGTGAATAGCCACTGCACTGCAGCTTGGGGAACATAGCAAGACTCCGTCTCCAAAAAACTCCCCCCAAAAAACTGTACAAGCCACTAGGATGGTAAAAGTAGGAAAAACAATCTGACACTCTCAAGGAACTTTGACAATACCAATGGAAACTCACCCTTTGGTAGAGCATTAAACAGGTTGTAACCATTTTGGAAAAGAAAGGCTGTGCATCTTCAAGTTTATTAGACAGTCTGATATCTACATTCTCCTAGTTATATATCTTAGAGAAACTCTTGCATGTAAGTGCCAGAAAGCATGTATCAAAGTGTTTATTGTAGCACTAATAATAACTGAAAACACCCAAAAGTCCATTAAAGAGTATAATAAATTATGATATTAATTACAATATATGAAATTCTATACAGAGCTACAGCTATATGCATAAGGACAGATGAAGCTCACAAACATTATATTGAGCCAAAAAGCAGCAAGTCACAGAAAAAAAAAATAGTGAGATTCCATTTATATAACTTGAAGATGGGTAAAACCTAAACTATATTGTTTAGGTTGTAATATTGGTGATATTGCTTATGGATATAAGTGTGAGATAAAACTAAAGCAAGAGAATGATCATCACGCACACACACACATACACACACACACACACACACAAATACATGCACACAAAGAACTGCATTTATCTTTGCAGAAAGGGAGGAAATGTGAGCAAGAAGAGGTCTTATGATGTCCTGAAAGTGTTCCGTTTCTATGAAGCATGAAAATTTTTAATTTTGTTGAAGTCCAACCTATCTATTTTTTTTCTTTGATTGCTTGTGCTTTGGAGGTCATATTTAAGAAATTCTTGCTAAATTCATGGACACAAAGATTTACACCTATGATTTCTTTGAAGAGTTTTATAATTTCAGCTCTTACATTTAGATCTTTGGTATATTTTGAGTTAATTTTTGTATATGACATGAGGTAGGGGGTCCAATATTATTCTTTTGCATATTGTGTTCCAGTTCTAAACCTGTGTGTTTGGATACATGGATATTTACTTTATAATATATTTTATATACTCTTATGTATGTATATTTTATAGATTGAAAAGTATAAGAGACAATGGCTTTGGGTACTGTTTGGAGTATCCTGTCTGTGGAGAATAAGTTGTGAAACAGAGAAAATCAGAAAGACCAATTGGGATGTTTCAAAGGTTTCTGGCTAAAGTAACAGTATGGATGGTGGTGCCATTAACTAAGACAGCAATGAATGCAAAAAGAGCAAGTTTTGTGGGGAGACACAAAATTATCTTTAGGATATGTTAAATTTGAGAAGCATTTTAAACATCCAAGTGGAGAAGTCAAAATGTAATTGGAGCCTGGTGTGGTGGAACATGGATGTAGTCCCAGTTACTAAGGCTGAGGTAGGAGGATTGCTTGAGCTCAGGAGTTTGAGACCAGCCTGGGCAAAATAGTGAGACCCCCATCTCCACAAAAATTTAAAAATTAGCCAGCTATGGGTGGCATGCACCTGTAGTCACAGCTATTCTTAGGAGGCTGAGGCAGGAGGATCACTCAAGTCCAGGAGTTCAAGGCTGCAGTGTGCTACAATCACACCTGTGAATAGCCACTGCACTCCAACCTGGACAACGTAGTGAGACCTCATCTATAATAATAATAATAATAAAGCAGCAAATGATATATGAATTCAGAGTTCAGGGAAGAAAACAGGGCTCTAGGTATTCATTTGGGAATCCGTAACATGCTTGTCATAAAGCTATGGGACTGACTGAGATTAAATAGGGAAAGAATGTACACAAAAAACAGAAGAGCATCAAGGACCCAGCTCTAGAGAGTCCTAATATTTAGAAGATGAGGAGAAAAAAGAGGCAGGTACTAGCAAGGAGATTGAGAAGAAGCAGCCAGTGATAAAGAGGGGAAACAGTGTGGCTTCAGGAAAACTTCAAGAAGAAAGTGTTTCAAAAAGAAAATAATGGTCAGCTACTACTGAGAAATTAACTGTGATTTGGATAGAGAACAAATCATTAGATTTGGCAAGATAAAGATGGTTGGCAAGCTTGATAGGGGATGTTTTGTGGCAGATGGCAAGTGTCGGTGGCTTTATCCAATTCTGAACAGGATATTTGCTAGCATGCACACAAGACCGTAATTCCTCTTTCATAATGAATGCTACTAATGTTACACAATGTCAGATGAGTCACTTGACAATGTAATTTTCCAGTAGCAGTGTGTTTTGCTTTCTCTCTGAGCATATTTTGAATAATTTCACATTAGGTTTTTACAAACCTTTTGACAGCAGTAAGAACTGTCTGTTTTAGGATATAAGAAGTGCAAATCTGAATGGATATCTAGTTTTGGCCTCTTTCTGACTTTAGCAAAAGAATTATTTAATTTTTTACTATGCTGTTTTGTTTTAGAAATGAAAAATTTAATTGGTTTACCAGTGCTCAGTGTTTTGTTAGAAATCAAAATGAAGGTCGGGCGCGGTGGCTCACGCCTGTAATCCCAGCACTTTGAGAGAACGAGGTGGGTGGATCACAAGGTCAGGAGATCGAGACCATCCTGGCTAACATGGTGAAACCCTGTCTCTACTAAAAATACAAAAAATTAGCCGGGCCTGGCAGCGGGCGCCTGTAATCCCAGCTACTCTGAGGCAGGAGAATGGCGTGAACCTGGGAGGTGGAGGTTGCAGTGAGCCAAGATCGCGCCACTGCACTCCAGCCTGGGCAATAGAGCGAGACTCCATCTCAAAAAAAAGAAAAGAAAAAAAAAATCAAAATGAAAGCATCATTAACTTCATGTCAAAACTTGACAGACTTACTTAAAAGATAAACATGGTGTAAAAAAAAGAGTAGCTGGATTGCTCATTTTCAGATATCCACTTTCATACTTCTATTCACATTTTTCTTTACTTGTTTCTATAAAATTATCATATTCACCTATTTCCTCAGTGAAAATGGGGCTCTTGTTAATTTTTTATATTTGTGACATTCTCTACTTTAATATTCACATTACTATTTTCATCACTATGTTTTGGTTTAGTGAAATACTTTCAAAGTCCTCGATAACATTTTTTTCTATAAATTTTTTATTTTTTAATTATCCGGGCATGGTGGCTTCGCCTGTGGTCCTAGCTACTTGGTAGGCAGAGGCGGGAGGATCACTTGAGCCCATGAGGTCGAGGCTACAGTGAGCCATGATCACGCCACTGCATTCCAACCTGGTCAACGTACGTAGCAAGACCCAGCAGTGTTGTCTTGAGCATGTCACTTAACCTCTCCAAGTCTGTTTCCTCATCTTTCCTTTGCAAGCACAGCAAGTCCCTGTAATAAGATAGGCACAACTGTCTGATCCAGGTAGGCACGAGTTGGCAAAGACTGGAGATCTACCTTCTGCTTTGATGACTTTTCTGCATTAATCTTCTCATTTTCTACTATCCTCTGGCCAGGCACGGTGGCTCACCCCTGTAATCCCAGCACTTTGGGAGGCTGAGGTGGGCAGATCACGAGGTCAGGAGATAGAGACCATCCTGGCTAACACACTGAAACCCCGTCTCTACTTAAAATACAAAAAATTAGCCAGGCATGGTGGCCGGCGCCTGTAGTCCCAGCCACTTGGGAGGCTGAGGCAGGAGTCCATAACATTTTTTTAAACATTGGCGATATAAGGCCACACTGGTAACCACATGAAAAATTAAAGTGTTGTGAAAATATTTTAAACCAAGATGACTTTTACCTGGTAAATTTTTTTTTTTTTTGAGACGGAGTCTCGCTCTGTCACCCAGGCTGGCGTGCAGTGGCACCATCTCGGCTCACTGCAACCTCCGCCTCCCAGGCTCAAGCGATTCTTCTGCCTCAGCCTCCCGAGTAGCTGGGACTACAGGTGCGAGCCACCACGCCCAGCTAATTTTTGTATTTTTAGTAGAGACAGGGTGTCACCATATTGGCCAGGCTGGTCTCGAACTCCTAGACCTCGTGATCTGCCCACCTTGGCCTCCCAAAGTGCTGGGATTACAGGCGTGAACCACTGCGCCCGGCCTTACCTGTTAAATTAATGTTAGTGGAAACACATTGCCAAACTCAATTTTTCAAGTACATGTATCTTCAAAATACAAATATACTTCAAAGCTACTGTACTTTGAAATATGTTATCTTCAAAAATGACATTATCACTAAGAATATAGGAAGCCTTAAGAATTGAATATGGTGGTTCAAAATTAGTATTTTTCCTCTTTGTAGGGGAAATCACCCAAAAGTAACAATCAGAACTGTTACCACCTGACTGGTTCTTGCCCACTGCACAGATAAAACCAAAACACTGAGCCAGCAGGAGTTGCAGCAGAGAAAGAGTTTGATTATTGCAAGGCAATAGAGTGAGGAGGACGGGATACATTTCCCAGATCCACCTCACCAAGAATTCAGAGGCTAAGGTTTTTAAGGATGATTTGGCAGGTAGGGCATTAGGAAACAGATGTTGTGGATTGGTTGGGGGATGAAATCATAGGAGTGTTGAAACTGTCTTCATGTGCTGAGTCATTTCCTGCAGGGGAGTGGTCAGAGGACCGGTTGAGTCAGTTCCTTTGTTGCAGTCACGGTCACTGTTCAAGCTGGTGTCAGTTGATTCACCTGAAGGCAAAGTCTGAAAAATATCTCAGAGATCAGTCTCAGGTTTCACAATAGCGCTTGTGACTGCCTGTTACATAACTCCTGAGCAATAAGCAATTATAGAAAAGCAAACAAGAGAACAATGATGGGCTATCATTCAACTACGCCTACAGCTTAAGAGGTGAGCTCCCTGGTGATTGAAACTGCTTGCACTCCTCAGTTGATCCAACTTCTGGAAAATACAAAGGCAGTCTGCATGACTTAAAGATCATTGTTTCTTTTTCTTTTTTTTTTTTTTTTTGAGACAGAGTCTTGGTCTGTCGCCGAGGCTGGAGTGCAGTGGCACAACCTGGGCTCACTGCAACCTCCGCCTCCTGGGTTCAAGCGATTCTCCTGCTTCAGCCTCCCGAGTAGCTGGGATCACAGGCATGTGCCACCACGCCTGGCTAATTTTTTGTATTTTTAGTAGAGGCGGGGTTTCACCGTGTTGGCCAGGCAGTGGCTCAATGCCTATAATCCCAGCACTTTGGGAGGCAGAGGCTGGCAGATCACCTGAGGTCAGGAGTTCGAGACCAGCCTGGCCAACATGGTGAAACCCCGCCTCTACTAAAAATACAAAAAATTAGCCGGGCGTGGTGGCACACGCCTGCAATCCCAGCTACTCGGGAGGCTGAGGCAGGAGAATTGCTTGAACCCGGGAGGCAGAGGCTGTAGTGAGCTGAGATCGCACCACCGTACTCCAGCCTGGGCGACAGAGCAAGACTTCATCACAAAAAAAAAAAAAAGGACTATGTTACGTAATCATGCCTGGTAGATGAAAATGTCAAAGGGAAAGAAAGTAAGTGTAACAAACATCTATTAGCTGTGCCTCTATTTTAACAAAATTTAGGCCTCTCTAAATTACAAAGTAAGTGGAATGGTTGAGTGTGGGAGGGCATTAGGGGTGCAGATTTTAGAAGTATTTTATTAGATTTAGGGTTTGGGATTAGATTAGATGAGGGGTAATAAATGATTGCTAGGGAGAATGACTGGATCAGGGAACAGAAATTAACTTGTAGGTAGTTCTCTTTGGAATTTAAATGATCCTTGGAGAGAGTCAGTCATTATCTTGAAAAAGGGTCTGTTTAGGTGTGGTTACATTTTCGGTCTTACAGATGTTACCAAAACACCCAAGATTCAGTCTAGGTCCTGTTGCTCCCCTCACAGAAAGCCAATCATTAAGACAATGAGTATTGCCAGGGAAGAAGGCTGTAATCCAGTGCTGCAGCAGAGGAGATGGGAGATCAGTCCCAAATCCAACTCCCTGACTGTCTAAAATTTGGGATTTGTATAGCAGGGAAGAAATGTAACTATGTGTGGAAAAACGGGAATTTTAGGGAGGGGTAAGGAAGAGAAAGGGGTCAACAGGAAGCAGGCAGTCATGATTGGTGAGGCGTCTGGCTCCCTTTGTCCAGATGTGATGATCTGGTAAGTTTCAGCTCCTTGATACTGTCTGGGAGGACTGATGGTTTCTTTTCTGAGAAAGCAACTCAGATAAGACAGATGTAATTTTCTCAAGTTTTAAGACCAGGAGGATAAATTTCTATGTTTATTAAAAAGAACCATAAACATCACCTCTACAGGACAATTGGGCAGGTTTCCCAGGGAAGGGAAGAAAACTATTGTTCTCCTTGGTGGGTCTGGAGCTTAGGCAGGTAAAGGAACTTGAGCCTCTTTGGAAGAGCTGGTGAGGGGTGGGTAGATCAGAGAGACCTTGAGTCTTCTTAGTTCAGGATGTAAACATGCCATATTTTGGGGAATTGGTTTCTAAGCCTCAACATTACAGACAGGAATGAAAACCGACCTTGTCTGGAGGAGAACTTTCCAAGTTTGGTACAGAGGACTCCCACAGATTATGATGAAGCCATCAACTCACAAACTGGATTACCAAACACACAAGAAGGCAATCACTGTGAGAGTCAGCAGAAACAACTGATTTAGATTTCTCAAATATTTCTAGTATTAGAATTATAATTACATATATACGACATAAAACAGCTGTGTATGAAGTGTTTAAAGAAGTATATAATTTAAAAAGTGAGCCTTCAACTAGAAACAGGAATGAACAGAAACATTTTGGAAACAATCCAAAAAGAACCAGGAATTAAAAATATAATGGGGTGACTCACATCTGTAATCCCAGCACTTTGTGAGGCTAAGGCGTGTGGATCCTTTGAGATCAGGAGTTTGAGACCAGCCCAGTCAACATGGCAAAACCCCGTCACTACAAAAATACAAAAATTAGCCAGGCATGATGGCACATGCCTGTAATCCCACCACTTTGGGAGGCCGAAGGGTGGATCATTTGCGGTCTGGAATTCAAGACAAGCCTGGCCAACATGATGAAACCCCATCCCTACTAAAAAGACAAAAATTAGTCAGGTGTGGCAGTGTGCGCCTTATAATCCCAGCTGCTTGGGAGGCTGAGGCAGGAGGTTGCAGTGAGCCGAGATCGCACCACTGCACTCCAGCCTGGCCACAGAGCGAGACTTCGTCTCAAAACAAAAAAAAAAAAAAAAAAAAAAAAAATGAGGTCGGGGATGGGGAAGTGGTGGTAGGAACTCAGTGGAGGGATGAACTAGCAGATTAGATAACTCAAGTGAGAATTTGTGAACCAGAAAATATATCTAAATAACTGATCCAGAATGCACAGGGAGAAACAAGGAAATGGAAAATATGAAAAAAAGGTTAAAAGATATGTAAGATAGGATGAGAATGAGACAGGATAGTTCATAGTTCAAGGTCAAGTCTTGACCTTGACCCCCTTTGTGGGCAGGAACTGGAGTGGCTTGTTTCACTCAGCCTGCAGTCCGTGGATGGCTAAGTGTTAACAGCCCAGGCTGACAGCCTTCTGCACCTGCCCTTCTTGACACCCGAATTCTTATTCAGAGTCCAGGAAGAATCAGGTCACATAAACTTTTTGAAGGGTAGTGTATATGGAAGATTTTACTGTGTGATAAAAGTGGCTCTCAGCAGGATGGGGAATTGGAAAGGGGATGGTATGGGAAGAAACTGCTCTTTCTCTGAAGCCGTGTCTATCTGTAGTTTCCGATGCTCAGCTGCATGTATTCCTGATGCTCAGCAGCTTGTATCCCCGACCACTTGCATCAGCTGCTGAGGTTGCTCTTTTTCTTCCTTTTGTTCTGCTAGCTGGTCTGGTATTTATAGGCATATGACAGGGGGTGGAGCGGGCCAAAAAAGCAATCATTTGGGTGGAAAAAATGGGGTCAGCTGTTTCACTTAGGACTGAGGTTCCAGGCTTGAGGGTGAAGTTTAGCCTGGAGCCCAGCAGTTCTGCATCAAGAAGATTTAACATACACTTAGTTTCAATTAGAAAGATAGTGAGAAAAGAGTAGAGGCAATGTGTAAAGAGATAATGGCTGTGAATTTCCCAGAACTGGTGAGAAGCATATACCCACAGATCTTGAAAGCAAAGAAAAAAAAAATAAGGAAACAGGGAAACAAATTTAAAATATAATTTTTAAAAAATTGCAGAGAAAAAGGAAACGAGTCTAAAAATGTAAAATGGCATATTACTAAAAAAGATTCCAAGTAGTCAAGAGCAATCTATGTCCTGATAAAATTATTAGATTTCAAAAAGAATTATTTAAAAGCCAGAGAATAAATCACTTATAATGAGAAAAACAGGCTGATTTCAGATTTCTCCACAGCATTTGTTCTTAGAAGACATTATGTATACATACCAATAAAATCCTCCAGCAAAGAGATGTGACCCAGGAATTTTGTATGCAGTCAAACTGTTGCTTAAATATAAAGGTAGGTGGTGTGGTGCCTCACGTCTCTAATTCTAGCACTTTGGGAGGCTGAGGCAGGAGGATTCCTTGATCCCAGGAGTTCAAGACCAGCCTGGGCAACATGGTGACACCTTGTCCCTAATAAAAATAAAATTAAAAAAAAATTTAGCCAGGCATGATGATGCATGCCTACAGTTCCAGCTACCTGGGAGGCTGAGGTGGGAGGATCGCTTGAGTGCAGGAGATTGAGGCTGTGGTGAGCCATGGTTGCACCACCACACTCCAGCCTAGGTGACACAGTGAGACCCTGTCTCAAAACAAGACAAAACAAACACACACACATATATATATTTGTTTATATACATACATATGTATGTATGTATATAAAGCCAAAGAGTTTTGAAAACACAACATCTTAAGGGTATTGTTTGTATTAACTCACATGAAGAATCCACCAATGGACAAATGTTGTCAAACCAGAGATGACTAGAAAGCACTGGGTAGATAGCATAAGCGCTGCTGGTAAATTGGCTTAAAACTAAAATAAATGTGGGATTGTTGTTATTAAACAGAACAAATATACACATTAAGAAACATAATATAATTAACAAAAATTGAGAAGTTGTAGAGAGAAAAAGGAGGTGGAAGGAAGAAGAAAGCTACTAATTTAATTATTAGCAATTATCAGAATAGGGCATTGATAATAGTGGTTAAAGAAAGAAGATCAGGGCCGGGCACAGTGGCTCATGACTGTAATCCCAGAACTTTGGGAGGCCGAGGCAGGTAGATCACAAGGTCAGGAGATGGAGACCATCACGGCCAACATGGTAAACCCCGTCTCTACCAAATACAAAAATTAGCTGGGCCTGGTGGTGTGGCACACACCTGTAATCCCAGCTACTCAGGAGCGTGAGGCAGGAGAATCGCTTGAACCTGGGAGGAGGAGGTTGCAGTGAGCCAAGATCGCGACACTGCCCTCCAGCCTGGGTGACAGAGCGAGACTCCATCTCAAAGAAAAAAAAAAAAGAAAGAAGATCAGACATTTGACAAAATACAAACATGCATAATTATCAGAAGAAATGGACATACAACAAAAACATCTCACATACGAAAACATCTCACATACGAAAATATTTTTAACTTTGAAACCATGAATTATAACATGAAATAACATGATATAGTCATGACCAAACATGTCTTTCATATCAAAAATTTTAAACAATTGTAATAATTGTAAATGAGTTTAATTCATCTAGTAAAAGGGGAAAAAGTCAGATAGAACCACAAATAAAAAATAATTCAATACCATAAAAACAAAGACAAACCTAAAACTAATAGATTCAGAAGGACAGAAAATGAAGAGAAAAAAAGATAAATGGGCAAACCTGTACTAGGCTAATGCAAACGAAAGTAATTGTTATCTTAATTTCAAATATGGAGAAAACAAAACTACTGGGGAAAGGGAGGGTCCACTGAGAACCATCCCAGTAACTCAACCACGGCTGGTCTTCGCTGGACACCATGAACCACACTGTCCAAACCTTCTTCTCTCCTGTCAACAGCGGCCAGCCCCCCAACTATGAGATGCTCAAGGAGGAGCACAAGGTGGCTGTGCTGGGGGTGCCCCACAACCCTGCTCCCCCAACGTCCACCGTGATCCACATCCGCAGCAAGACCTCCGTGCCCCACCATGTCGTCTGGTCCCTGTTCAACACCCTCTTCATGAACCCCTGCTGCCTGGGCTTCATAGCATTTGCCTACTCCGTGAAGTCTAGGGACAGGAAGATGGTTGGCAACGTGACTGGGGCCCAGGCCTATGCCTCCACCACCAAGTGCCTGAACATCTGGGCCCTGATTTTGGGCATCCTCATGACCATTCTGCTCATCATCATCCCAGTATTAATCTTCCAAGCCCATAGATAGATCAGGAGACATCACTGAGGCCAGGAGATCTACCCATGACCTGTATCCTTTGTACTCCACCTTCCATTCCTCGCCCTGCTCCCGGAGCCAAGTCCTGTATCAGCCCTTTATCCTCACACACTTTTTTACGACGGCATTCAATAAAGTGTACGTGTTTCTGGTAAAATAAATAAATAAATAAATTCAAATATGACTGAGTTTGGGGGAATAAGTGCTAAATAAGACACAGACACTTTATATGCTAAAGGTTGAAATTCACAAAAATAACAGTTATGAATATCTATTTACAAATAACATGGCATTGATATAAGCATAGCCCTTAAAGCAAAAGTTAAGGTGTTGGAGGCCATGGGCTGTTGACCCCCTAAAGGTTTGCTAAAAAATCACCGACATGAAGCAGATTGACGAATAGAAGAAAAAGCGTACAAATTTATTTAACATGTATACACAGGAGCCTTCAGAATGCGGACCCAATTTCCCAATAAGTAACAGAAGCTTATATACCACCTTGAAATTGCAGAAACAATGCGGACTCAGAGTATGTCCAAAAACAGGATTTAGTGGCAAGGCAGGTTATGGGAGGAAGAAAGGAAGGAAGAGGCTTTGCTAGCAATGGTGGCCTTGTTGTACAGAGAAGCCTCCCTCAGAGGGAATACATGGTAAAAGTTTATTTCCACACCTTTAAAGGTGCCAGACTGCCAGTCTCTCCTGGATCGGGAAAGGAATAGAAAAGAGAGGCAGGGCTGCATTAGTGGAGATTCTCTACAGATGCAAATTTTCCCCACAAAGGACAGCTTTGCTAGGCCACTTCCGTTTTCTGACCAAGGGGCAGCCATTTCAAAATATGTCAAAGAAATATATTTGGGGCTAAAATATTTTAATTTCCTTCAAGGTCTACAACAGAAAAGTAGAGAGAAATACATTAATGGTGGGATACTTTAACTCTTCTCAAAAGTATGCAGAAAGCCAAACAAGGGTATAGTGAATTTATAATTAGTAAGGTAGATATATGTCAAATTCTGTGCTTCTGAAAACAGAAAATACATATTTTTATATTTCCAATAAAAAAACCTTCAATAAATTTCAAAAAGATAAAACAGTACAGCTGGGCACACTAGCTCAAGCCTGTAATCCCAGCACTTTGGGAGGCCAAGGCAGGTGGATTGCCTGAGGTCAGGAGTTTGAGACTAGCCTGGCCAACATGGTGAAACCCCGTCTCTACTAAGAATACAAAAATTAGCCAGGCAAAGTAGAAGGCACCTGTAATCCCAGCTACTCCGGAGGCGAAGGCAGGAGAATTGTTTGAACCTGGGAGGTGGAGGTTGCAGGGAGCCGAGATAGCACCACTGCACTCCAGTCTGGGTGACAGAGAGAGACTCTGTCTCAAAAAGAGAGAAAAAAAAAAAAAAAGGATAAAACAGTACAGACAACTTTATCTAGTACCAAGGCAATAAAACTAGAAGACAATAATATAAGGAGGAAACCAAAGCCCCTACGTATTTGGAAATAAAATATCTTGGTTTTAAATAGCTCTCGGGCCCAAGAGGAAAATCCAAATGAAATTGCAGACCATCTAAAAAGTAATGATAACAAAAATATTGCACATCAGACTCTATATGATACTGCTGAAGCAGTGTTCAAACATTGTATTTTAAATATCTTTATTACAAGTTATGAACAATGAAATAAATTTCTGAAATTCTTTTCTACACTTATCTTAAAGAATATTATATAGAATTACTATAATCACCTGTTGACTCCTTCCAGCCCACTGCACAGACAAAAATCGATTTACTGAGACCTCAGCATTGCAGTAGAGAAAAATTTGACACAAGGCCAGGCACACAGAAGATGGTGTTACTCCTCAAGTCAGTTTCCTTGAAGGCTCAGAGATTAGGGTTTTTAATGGACAATTTGGTGGGCAGGGAGCTAGGGAATGGGTACTGCTGAGTGATCAGGGAGGAAATCACAGGGGTGTGGAAAATAGTCCTTGTGCACTTAGTCCACTTCTGGTGGAGCCACAGGACCAGCTGAGTCATGAGTCACGAGTCCAGGTGGAGTCAGTCTGAGAAAATCTCAAAAAAAAAAAAAAAAAAAAATCTCAGGTTTTACAGTAGTGGTGTTATCTATAGGAGCAATTGGAGAAGTCACAAATCCTGTGACCTCTGGCCACAGGACTCCTGAGCAATAAGAGATTGTAGAAACTATGCCTACATTTTAGCAGAACTCAGGCCCCTCCCATAACCCTAATCTTATGGCCTTTCATTAGTTTTAAAAAGGCAGTTTCAGCCCCTGAACAGGGAGGGAATTCATTTTAGGGAAGGATTATTATAATCTTTGCTTCAAAGCCAAACTATATATTTTTATTTTTGAGACAGAGTCTCACTCTGTTGCCCCTGAGCTGGAGTGTAGTGGGGCAATCTTGGCTCACTGCAACCTCTGCCTCCTGAGTTAAAGCGATTCTCCTGCCTCAGCCTCCCAAGTAGCTGGGATTACAGGCACCCACCACTGTACCCGGCTCATTTTTTGTATTTTTTGTAGAGATGGGGTTTCACCATGTTGGCCAGGCTGGTCTTGAACTCCTGACCTCAGGTGATTTCCCCGCCTTGGCCTCCCAAAGTGCTGGGATTACAGGCATGAACCACCGCACCTGGCCCGAAGTTAAACTATTGACAACTACATTCCTCCCAGAGTTAGCTTGGTCTGTGCCCAGGTATGACCAAGAACAGCTTGGAGGTAAGAAGCAGGATGGAGTCAATTACATCAGATTTCTTTTACTGTCATAATTTTGCAGGGGCAGCTTCATTACAAATGCAGAACTTAGTAATAAAAGTCATATTGTTGGCTGGGCGCAGTGGCTTATGCCTGTAATCCCAGCACTTTGGGAGGCCAAGGCGGCTGGATCACGAGGTCAGGAGTTCGAGACCATCCTGGCTAACATGGTGAAACCCCGTCTCTACTAAATGTACAAAAAATTAGCCGGGCGTGATGGCGGGTGCCTGTAGTCCCAGCTACTTGGGAGGCTGAGGCAGGAGAATGGTGTGAACCCGGGAGACGGAGCTTGCAGTGAGCCGAGATTGCACCACTGCACTCCAGCCTGGGCGACAGAGCGAGACTCCGTCTCAAAAAAAAAAAAAGTCATATTGTTAGATATGAATTCTAAACTTGTTTTCAAAGAATATGTCAGTATGTTCAATTATTTACCTTCTACTTTTAAACTTCCTCATAAAGCAACCTTTTTCAATTACCTGCTCCACCCTGACTCATTTTGATCACCTGCTCCAACCTGACTCATTTCAATCACCTGCTCCAACCTGACTCATTTCAATCACCTGCTCCACCCTGACGCGTTCTGATTACCTGCTCCACCCTGATTCATTCCCATTACCTGCTCCACCTTGACTCATTCCCATGACCTGCTCCACCCTGACTCATTCCCATTACCTGCTCTGTCATAACCATTTTTCCCGCCAAACCACTCACCCCATCACTCTCTTTAAATTGGCCAATCGGAATTAGTTTAGCCTGGGCGGTCTAACCCTAGCCAATAGGGGAATGACACAGCAGCAGGGGCCACCTGAATCAGGGATAAGAACCCCCTCCCCTTCCTTGTCCAAGTGTGTGCTCACCATTGCTCCATCTGTAAGGGCGCACCCTTCTATA
Source organism: Homo sapiens (assembly GCF_000001405.40). Taxonomy (NCBI): domain Eukaryota; kingdom Metazoa; phylum Chordata; class Mammalia; order Primates; family Hominidae; genus Homo; species Homo sapiens. The sequence goes on from NC_000012.12 coordinate 31,758,785, forward strand.
GAAGTACCTTGCCTTGCTGAGAATTAAAAAGAAAATTTTATATTCGAGTGCTATTTCTTTTGCGGCACTGAAACTTTATATATAACAATATTAATAAACAAAGCAAGGCCGGGCGCAGTGACTCACGCCTGTAATCCCAGCACTTTGGGAGGCCGAGGTGGGTGGATCACGAGGTCAGGAGATCGAGACCATCCTGGCTAACATGGTGAAACGCCGTCTCTACTAAAAAAATACAAAAAAATTAGCCGGGCGTGGTGACGGGCGCCTGTAGTCCCAGCTACTCGGGAGCTGAGGCAGAAGAATGGCGTGAACCCGGGAGGCGGAGCTTGCAGTGAGCCGAGATCACGCCACTGCACTCCAGCCTGGGCGACAGAGCGAGACTCTATCTCAAAAAAAAAAAAAAAAAAAAAAGAAACAAAGCAAAAAATTTGACTGGGCATGGTGGCACACGCCTGTAATTCCAGCATTTGGGGAAGCCGAGGCGGGTAAATTGCTTGAGCCCAGGAGTTTGAGAGCAACCTGGGCAACATGGCGAAACCCTGTCTCTACAAAAAAATTAGCCTGGCGTGGTGGCAAGCGCAGGTAGAACCAGCTACTGGGAAGGCTAAGGTGGAAGAATCACGTGAGCCTGGGAAGTTGAGGCTGCAGTGAGCCATGATTGCACCACTACACTCCAGCTTAGGTGACAGAGCAAGACTCTGTCTCAAAAAAAAAAAAAAAAAAAGGAAGAAACAAAACAAAAAATGTAAAAATAAATACTTTAATAATATGCCATAATGACATGTATACTGATCCGGATTTGTATCTAGGGATTGTACTGTGGGAGTCCAAAAACCTGCTGCATGTGTAAAATAGTTATACTATTTAATAAGCAAAAGTCACTAGCAGCAAAATTATCCAAAAATCAGTGGAGTTCTAGGAATAAAGTATCTCTTGTGGTGCCAAAGCAAAAATGCAAGTCTAGACCTCAGCAAGGCAAGACTTTATCAAAGGAGGCTATGACAATAGGAAGACACTCAAAGCCTAAGCTAGAAACCTCTCAGGGAAGGGGTGTGTGAGCAGAAACTGTGGCAAAGGCAGCTGTGGAAAGAGAAAAGAGAAAAGGGTGTATTCAGTTTGCTAGGGGAAGTCTTGAACTTAATGAACTGTGTCAAAAAAGAAAAGGAAGGACAAGGCAGCACAGTTTAGTTGGTGGATAGGTATATGGAGTGGGGTTTGGGTCTGAGAGAGAGCAAACAAGTTACAATGCAGAAAGTTTGCATAAAGCTGAGGGCCTAGCTGTCCTTGTCAAAGCAGACTGAAGTTACATGAAGCACTAAGTTTAACCATCCCTGTTACTGGCTATCTGTGCACACTTAAATGATTTTGGCTTTTAAGCAGATATAAATTGCATATATTCCAAGTCATGTTGACACAAACGTATCTTAGAATCTGGCTCTACAAATATTCAAAGTAGGTCACATCCACAGGTGAACAAATCGTAAGGCAGCTGGAAAACTTCACTGTATTAGTTAATAAGAGAATAGGCCAGGTGCAGTGGCTCACTCCTATAATCCCAGCACTTTGGGAGGCCAAGGTGGGTAAATCACTTGAGGTCAGGAGCTCAAGATCAGCCTGGCCAACATGGTGAAATCTTGTCTCTACTAAAAAAGTAGGTGAGGACCGGGCACGGTGGCTTATGCCTGTAATCCCAGCACTTTGGGAGGCTGAGGTGGGTGGATCACGCAGTAAGGAGATGGAGACCATCCTGGCTAACATGCTGAAACCCCGCCTCTACTAAAAATACAAAAATTAGCCAGGCATGGTGGCACATGCCTCTAATCCCAGCTACTCAGGAGGCTGAGGCAGGAGAATCGCTTGAACGCGGGAGGCAGAGCTTGCAGTGAGCCGAGATCGTGCCACTGCACTCCAGCCTGGGCGACAGAGGAGACTCTGTCTCAAAAAAACAAACAAACAAACAAACAAAAAACAGCTGGACATGGTGGCAGGCACCTGTAATCCCCGTTACTCACAAGTCTGAGGCAGGAAAATCACTTGAACCCAGGAGACGGAGATTGCAGTGAGCCAAGATCGTGCCACTGCACTCCAGAGCGAGACTCCATCAAGAAAGAAAGAAGATGAAGGAAGGAAGGAAGGAAGGAAGGAAGGAAGGAAGGGAAAGAAAGAAAGAAGGAAAGCATCAAAATGAATGAAGTTAAAGATCAGCCAAACAAAGCTAAGAAAGCAAAGAAATTGAAAAAATAAAAATAGAAACTACTTAATTAGAAAAAAAGTAGAATTAAATATATAATCCAAGAGCTGGTTACTTGAAAAATAAAAAAGATAGGCTTTTAGCTAAGTTAACTAGGAAAAACAGCTAAAATATACTTGATGCAATAATTTGGAAATTCTAGATAAAATGGATTATTTTTAAAGAAAGTATGACTTGCCAAAACTGATCTTAAAAAAAAAAACAGAAAATCTAAATAAGCAAATAATTACCATAAAAGAAGTATAAAGAGCTATTCCACAAAAGGAGTACCAGGTCTAGATATTTTCATAGGTGGTTATATTCCACCTTTAAGGAAACAATTCCAAAGCTATGTGAGCTTTTCTAACACATAAAAAAAAGAAAGAAACCATCTAAAATACTTCTATGAAGCAAGAATAGTTTGACACTAACTCTAACAAGGTGTGTAGAAAAAAACCTGAGCACTAATCTCATTTATATGTATTGATGAAATAATACTAGGTACTAGGAAAAAGAATCCTGTAATACCTTACAAGAATGAAAGGACAAAAATGGGGATTATTTCAGAAATACAAGGATAATAAATTATTAGGAAATCTATTTTATAAAGAGACCCAAGGACAATCAACTCAACAGACTTTGAAAAATAATTTGATTAAAAGCTTTTGGGAGGCCAAGGTGGGCAGATCATGAGATCAGGAGATTGAGACCATCCTGGCTAACACAGTGAAACCCTGTCTCTACTGAAAATACAAAAAATTAGCCAGGCGTGGTGGCAGGCACCTGTAGTCCCAGCTACTCTGGAGGCTGAGGCAGGAGAATGACGTGAACCTGGAAGGTGGAGGTTGCAGTGAGCTGAGATCACACCACTGCACTCCAGCCTGAGCGACAGAGTGAGATTCCATCTCAAAAAAAAAAAACAAAAAAAAAACCTTTTAACATTTATTTATTTATTTATTTATTTATTTATTTAGACAGAGTCTCGCTTTTTCACCCAGGCTAGAGTGCAGTGGTGCGATCTCAGCTCAGCTCACTGCAACCTCAGCCTCTTGGGTTCAAGTGATTCTCCTGCCTCAGTGTCCCAAGTAGCTGGGATTATAGGCATGCATCACCATGCCTTGCTAATTTTTGTATTTTTAATGGAGATGGGGTTTCACCATGTTGGCCAGGCTGGTCTCGAACTCCTGACCTCAAGTGATCCATCTGCCTCGGCCTCCCAAAATGCTGGGATTATAGATGTGAACCACAGTGCCTGGCCCATCTACTTTTCAATCAAAAATGATCATAAAAGAATAAGAATATAAGTTGACAGCAAGAATGAGGAAATAAAAAATTTTTTTAATTAAATTTGAAAAATAAAAAAAAAGAATAGAAGACATTTCCTTAATATGAATCTATTTTAACCTCAAGACAGCTTATGTTCAAAGGAAAATATTAGAAGTACTCCCATTAACAAAAGATTTTAAATAATGATGACTACTATTATCAGTAATATTTTTCTATCTAATGTGTTTATCTTTATATTTGGGGGAAAATTAGAAGTTAAAAGTTATTGGAAACAAGACAACAATGCCTGCTGTCATCACTTGCATTCAAAATTGAACTGGAAGTTCTAGCCAAGGCAATTAGGCAAGAAAATAAAATAAAAGGCATCTAGGTTGGAAAAGAGGAGGGACAACTATCTTTTTTTGCAGATGAGATAAAAATCCCTAAACAATTCACAAAAAATCCATTAGGGCTAATAAACAAGCTCAGAATGGTGCAACAATGCAAGATCAATATACAAAAATCAGTTGTATTTCTATAAAGTAACAATGAACAATCCAAAAATAAAATTAAGAAAATAATTCCATTTATAATACCATCAAATATAATAAAATACTTTGCAACAAATTTAACAAAAGAAGTGGATGACTCAGCCAGGCAAGGTGGCTCACACCTGTAATCCCAGCACTTTGGGAGGCCGAGGCAGGCAGATCATGAGGTCAGGAGTTCGAGACCAGCCTGGCCAACATAGTGAAACCTCATCTCTACTAAAAATACAAAAAAATTAGCTGGGTGTGGTGGCGGGCACCTGTAATCCCAGCTACTCGGGAGGCTGAGGCAGGAGAATTGCTTGAACCCGGGAGGTGGAGGTTGCAGTGAGCTGAGATCGTGCCATTGCCCTCCAGCCCAGGCAACAGTGTGAGACTCCGTCTCAAAAAAAAAAAAAAAAAGAAACAAACAAACAAAAGAAATGGATGACTCATACTGAAAAAGAGATCATTGAAAGAGATGACTCAGGAGGCTGAGGCAGGAGGATCAGGAGTTTGAGTTTGTAGTTAGCTATGATCGCGCCACTGTACTCCAGCCTGGGTGACAGAGCAAGATCCTACTGAAAACCAAAAAGAGAAGCAAGAAAAAGAGAAAAAGAAAGAAGACTAGTTGAAACAACATCTGTTTTCATGGATTGGAATATCTAATATTGTTAAGATATCAGTACTTCTTAAATTAATCTGCAGACTCAACACAATCCCTGTCAAAATTCCAACAGCATTTTTAATTTTTTCAGAAATGTAAAAGCTGATCCTCAAATACATATAGAACTGCAAGGGGCCCTGAATAACCAAAACAATCTTGAAAAAGTTAAAAATTGAAAGACTCACACCTCCCCATTTCAAAACTTTGCTTAAAGCTATAATATCAAGACTGTAGTATGGGCATAAGAATAGACATGTAGTTGAGGACAATGAATTGAGAGTCCAGAAATAAACCCAGACTCTTGCATCAATTGATTTTCAACAAGGCTGCCAAGACAGTTCAATGGAGGAAAGAATAATCTTTCAACAAATGGTTCTGAACAACTAGATATCTACATACAAAATAATGAATTTGGCACCTGAGTACCATACACTATATACAAAAATTAACTCAAAATGGATCAGGACCTAAACATAAGAGCTAAAATTATAAACTCTTAGAAGAAAACATAGATGTAAATCCCTGTGACCTTGGATTAGGTAATGTTTTTTTAGTTATGGCACCAAAAACACAAACTATAAAAGAAAAAAATAGAAAAATTGATCTACTCCAAAATTAAACACTTTAGTGCTACAAAGGACATTATCCAGAAACTGAAAAGACAACCTATAGAAAAGGATAAAATATTTGCAAGTCATTCTAGTAAAGAACTTGAATTGGCCGGGCATGGTGGCTCACGCCTGTAATCCCAGCACTTTGGGAGGCCGAGGCAGGTGGATCACAAGGTCAGGAGATAGAGACAAGCCTGGCTAACACCGTGAAACCCCGTCTCTATTATGAATACAAAAAATTAGCCGGGCGTGGTGGCGCATGCCTGTAGTCCCAGCTACTCGGGAGGCTGAGGCAGGAGAATGGCGTGAACCCGGGAGGCGGAGCTTGCAGTGAGCCAAGATCGTGCCACTGCACTCCAGCCTGGGGGACAGAGTAAGACTCCGTCTCAAAAAAAAAGAACTTGTATCTAGAATATATAAAAAACTCTAACAATTCAGCAATAAAAGACAACCCAACTAAAAAATTGACAAAGGATTTTTTTTTTTTTTTTGAGATGAAGTCTTGCTCTGTCCCCCAAGCTGGAGTACAGTGGCGCAATCTCCACTCACTGCAACCTCCGTCTCCTAGGTTCAAGTGATTCTCCTGCCTCAGCCTCCAGAGTAGCTGGAATTACAGGCGCCCGCCACCACGCCCAGCTAATTTATTTTTTATTTTTTATTTTTAGTAGAGACGGGGTTTCCCCACATTGGCCAGGCTGGTCTTGAACTCCTGACCTCAAGTGATCTGCCTGCCTCGGCCTCCTAAAGTGCAAGGATTACAGGCATGAGCCATCCACAGGCCAAGACAAAGGATTTGAATAGGCATTTCTTCAAAGAAGACAACAAATGACCAATAAGCATATGAAAAGATGCTCAATGCTGCTAATCATTAGGGAATTACAAATCAAAACTAGGAGATACTAAGTCATACCCACTATGATGGCTACTCTAATTTTTTTAACTTTTAATTTTTTTTTTTTGAGATGGAGTCTCACTCTGTAGCCCAGGCTGGAGTGCAGTGGTGTGATCCCATCTCAGCTCACTGCAACCTCCGCCTCCCGGGTTCAAGCAATTCTCATGCCTCAGCCTCCTGAATAGCTGGAACTACAGGCATGTGCCACGATGCCCAGCTATTTTTTAAATTTTTAGTAGAGACAGGATTTCACCATGTTGGCCGATCTGGTCTCAAACTCCCAACCTCAAGCGATCTACCCGCCTTAGCCTCCCAAAGTGCTGAGATTACAAGTGTGAGCCACTGGGCCCAGCCGTATAATAATTTTTTAAAACAATTACAGGTGTTGATGAGGTTGTGGAGAAATAGGAACCCATGGAAATTGCTGGTAGAAATATGAAATGGTAGTAAAAAAACAGTTTGGGAGTTCCTTTAAAAGGTAAACCTAGAGGCCGGGTGTGGTGGCTCACGCCTGTAATCCCAGCACTTCGGGAGGCTGAGGCAGGTGGATCATGAGGCCACACGGTGAAACCCCATCTCTACTAAAAATACAGAAACCAAATTAGCTGGGCGTGGTGGCAGGCACCTGTAGTCCCAGCTACTTGGAAGGCTGAGGCGGGAGAATGGCGAGAAACCAGGAGGTGGAGCTTGCAGTGAGCCGAGATCGCGCCACTGCATTCCAGCCTGGGCAACAGAGGGAGACTCCGTCTCAAAAACAAACAAAAAAAAAACTTAAACCTAGAATTACTAATATGATGAGCAATTTCACTCCTTGGTACGTACCTTAGGGAATTGAAAACATATGTTCATATAAGATAGCAAAAAAAGGAAACAACTGAAATGTTAATCAACTGATGAATGGATAAACAAAATGTGGTATATCCATAAAATCGAGTATTATTTAGTCATAAAAAGGAATGAAGTATGAAAGATGCTAAAACATAGATGAACCTCAAAAACATTGTACTCACTGAAAGAAGCTATATACAAAAAGCTTCCCTTTTTATAGGAAATGTCCAAAATAGGTAAATCCACAGAGACAAACTATAGACTAGTGGCTGCCAGAGCTTAGGGGGAAGGAAGGATGAGGAGTGACTAATAATGGCTACGGAGTTTCACTTTGGGATGATAAAAATGTTTTGAAACTAGTGGTGATGGTTGTACAACCTTGTGACTACACTAAAAATCACTGACCTACACACTTTAAAATGGTGAAATTTATTTGTGCTTGAATTATATCTCAAAAATATGGTTAAGTTTTAAGTTTATTATAACAGAATTAAACTTTTAGAAAAGGGAAAAAATGGTTTTACAGGGAAAGGATGTGGTAATTTTATAAATTATTTCTAGATGATAGGATTATATACATGGAAAAACCTGAGAGAAAAACACAAAATTTTATAGATCATAAGAGAATTCAGGTGGACTAGCATGACATTAACAGTCAAAATCAATCATTTTCATATATACAAACAATAAGCAGTTCAAAAACATCTATTTACAATAGCAACAGAAAAATAATTTCTGGGAATAATCTAACAATAAATGTGCAAAATCTAAACGAAGAAAACTTTAAACTCGCTACTAAAGGAAATAAAAGATGGTTTGCAGCCAGGCGTGGTGGCTCACACCTGTAATCTCAACACTTTGGGAGGCCAACGTGGGTGGATCACTTGAGCTCAGAAGTTTGGGACCAGCCTGGCCAACATGGTGAAACCCTGTCTCTACAAAAAATACAAAAATTAGCCGGGCGTTACTGGCTTGAGCCTTTAGTCCCAGCTACTCATGAGGCTGAGGTGGAAGGATGGCTTCAGACCAGAAAGCAGATGTTGCAGTAAGCCAAGCCTGTGCCACTGCACTCCAGTCTGGGCAACAGAGCCAGACTGTCTCAAAAAAAGAGAAGGTTTGAACAAATAAAAAGGCATAACTTGATAATATAGGATGCTTCAACATGATAAAACTTCAATTCTTTCTAAATTAATTTATAATAACTCCTCTCCCAAATTCTAAGGATTTTTTTAAAAAAAAGACAGGCTGATTTGAAAGTTCAAACAGAAAAAAATAAAAATTCAACGTACGTTTGATGAAGAAGGGAAATGATAGAAAACTAGTCAAAACGAAGAGGAAAGCCTAAATTGACATTTGTACAAAGCTATTTATTAAAATCTTCTTTGTAATTAAGAAAACAGTCTTTGTATCCATTCAAGAATTCTCTGCAGCTATGAAAAAGAATGAAGCTGTTCTTTGTCTACTGATATGGAAAGTGTCCTAGGCCAGGTATGGTGGTTCATGCCTGTAATCCCAGCACTTTGGGAGGCTAAGGCAGGCAGAATACTGGAGGTCAGAAATTCAAGACCAGCCTGGCCAACATGGTAAAACCCCACCTCTACTAAAAATTAAAAGAAAGAGGAGGGGAGGGAGAGAAAGAGGCTGGGTGCGGTGGGTGGCTTACACCTGTAATCCCAGCACTTCAGGAGGCCAAGGCGGGCAGATCACTTGAGGTCAGGAATTTGAGACCAGCCTGGCCAACATAGTGAAACCCCATCTCTACTAAAAATCCAAAAAAAAAAAAAAATTAGCCAGGCATGGTGGTGTGTGCCTGTAATCCCAGCTACTTGGGAGGCGGAGGCTGGAGAATCACTTGAACCCAGGAGGCAGAGATTGCAGTGAGCCGAGATCACACCATTGCACTCCAGGCTGAGCAACAGCAAGACTCCATCTCAACAAAAAAAAAAAAGAGAGAGAGAGAGAGAGTCCTAGACAAGAGAGAGAAAGAGAGAAAATGAAAGAAAGAGAGAGAGAAGGAAGGAAGGAAGGAAGGAAGAAAGGAAGGAAGGAAGGAAGGAGGGAGGGAGGGAGGGAGAGAGGGAGAGGGAAGGAAGGAAGGAAGGAAGGGAGGGAGGGAGGGAGGGAGAGAGAAGGAAGGAAGGAGAGAAGGAAGGAAGGAAAAAAAAGAAAGAGTCCTAGATGAGAGAGAGAGAGAGTCCTAGATGAGAGACAGTGAAAGCAAGAAAGAAAGAAAGGAAGAGAGAAAGAAAGAGTCCTAGATGAGAGAGAGAGAGAGAAAGAGAGAAGGGAAGGGAGGGAGGGAGGGAGGAGAGTCCTAGACCAGGGGTCCCCAATCCTACTGGTCTGTGGCTTGTCAGGAAGTGGACCCCACAGCAGGTGGTGAGCAGTGAGCAAGCAAGCAGAGCTTCATCTGTATTTACAGCTGCTCCCCATCACTCACATTACCACCTGAGCTCCACCTTCTGTCAGATCAGCGGTGGCACTAGATTATCATAGGAGCATGAACCCTATCATGACCAGAGCATTCAGGAATCTAGGTTGAGTGTCCTTATGAGAATCTAATGCCCGATGATCTGTTACTGTCTCCCATCACCCCCATATGGGACCATCTTATTGCAGGAAAACAAGCTCAGGGCTCCCACTGATTCCACATTATGGCAAGTTGTATAATTGTTTCATTATATATTACAATATAATAATGATAGAAATAAAGTGCACAATAAATGTAATGCGCTTGAATCATCCTGAAACCATCCCTCCCCACCCTGATTCATGGAAAATTGTCTTCCACAAAACCAGTCCCTAGTGTCAAAAAAGTAGGAGACCATTGTCCTAGATATACTGTTTCATGGAACAAGTAAGGTGCAGAAAAGTGTATAGCTTATGTTGCTTGTGTAAAAAAGAGCAAAATGGGCCGGGTGTGGTGGCTCATGCCTGTAATCCTAGCACTTTGGCAGGCCAAGACGGGCAGATCACGAGGTCAGGAGATCAAGACCATCCTGGCTGACACGGTGAAACCCCATCTCTACTAAAAATACAAAAAATTAGCCAGGCATGGTGGCATGCACCTGTGGTCCCAGCTACTCGGGAGGCTGAGGCAGGAGAATGGCGTGAACCCAGGAGGTGGAGGTTGCAGTGAGCTGAGATCGTGCCACTGCACTCCAGCCTGGGTGACAAAGCAAGACTCCGTCTCAAAAAAAAAAAAAAAAAGGCGGGGGGCAAAATGTGTGTGTATTTGTGTATGTGTGTGTGTTTTCTTGTATACTGTAAAATATCTCTGTAAGGGGATACACATGCTGATCAATACTGGCTTAGGGGATGTGGTTAGGGGGAGACCTTATACTGTTTATCTTTAACCTTTTTCAATTTTGAGTCTTATGAAAGTCACATCTAATTTAAAAGTAAATAATGGACCGGGTACAGTGGCTCACACTTGTAATCCCACACTTTGGGAGGCCAAGAGGGGAGGATTGCTCTAGCCCAGGAGTTCAAGACAACCCTGGACAACATGGTAAGATCCTATCTCTACAAAAAATTTTAAAATTAGCAGGGCATGGTGGCACACTCCTGAGGTTCCAGGTATTCAGGAGGCTGAGGTGAGAGGATAGAGTGAACTTGGGAGGTCAAGGCTGCAGTGAACCATGATCTCACCACTGTACTCCAGCCTGGGCAAGAGTGAGACCCTGTCTCAAAAAAATAAAAATAAATGATACACTGAAAATATAGCAGAATTTCTGTAAAAAAAATTTTTTTTGAGATGGAGTCTCACTCTGTTGGAGTGCAGTGGTGTGATCTTAGCTCACTGCAAGCTCCACCTCCCAGGTTCACACCATTCTCCTGCCTCAGCCTCCCGAGTAGCTGGGACTACAGGTACCCACCACCACGCTCAGCTAATTTTTTGTATTTTTAGTAGAGATGGGGTTTCACTGTGTTAGCCAGGATGGTCTTGGTCTCCTGACCTCGTGATCCACCCACCTCGGCCTCCCAAAGTGCTGGGATTACAGGCATGAGCCACCGCACCCAGCCAAAAATAATTCTTAATCTTAATTTCACATTGATAAAATGTATTTGAACAAAATTATTATACTTCTTTATTTTTTTCCTCTGAAATGGCCAAACTCTCTTGACTACTTGATAGACCACCAGCTGACTATTCTTTGAGCAAGGCTGTCCCAGAACTTTAAACATTCAGATGCCAGAGAGGCTACTACAGTTGGATCCAGTATCTGAACCCACATCTCTTTAGGACCACAAATTGTATTCTTATACCAGAGATTAAGTGGGATCTTATTAGAGAAATTCCTAATTCTTAATTCAATTAGTCAGTATTTGCTGGAAACCTATTATTTAATATTATCTGTTATACAGAGATTAGTGTATCCTGGCTGCTGTTCTCAAGAAGCTCACAAGCATGCTGAAGTTACTAAACTATATCCAATTACATAAAATAGGTTCTAAAGGCCCCAGCAACTATGGCAGTTGGTTAAAATAGATTTATTATAACACCCCGTGCCTAAGTATACATCTGAAAGGATACACACAACTTTTTATTTTTATTTTATTTTTTTGAGACAGGGTCTCACTCTGTCGACCAGGCTGGGGTGCAGTGGTGCAATGTCAGCTCCCTGCAGCCTCCACCTTCTGGGTTTAAGCAATTCTCCTGCCTCAGCCTCCTCAGTAGCTGGGACTACAGGTGTGTGCCACCACGCCTGGCTAGAATTATTAATAGCAATTACATCTGTTGGATGGGATTGCTAGAAAGGAGACAAGGGGAAGACTTTTACTTTTTTAAATATTTCAAATATGAAGATGGTGGGATCATGAAGGATTTTATTCATTTTTAGCATTTTTGTTTTTCAAATAAAAACATAGGAAAAAATCAAGAGTTTCAAACCAATACATAAAGTTATTTCTTCACATAATTAAAACAAATTATCATATACCACTTTCCTACCTCCCTTCATTGAATAGTACAAAACTTGGTACTCTGCTTTTATCTACTAGATATTCTGTATTTGCCTTGACCCTTGTTAAATGAAGTCTCCCTTTGTTTAGGAAAAATATACAGTATATCAAAGGATGAGATCACCAACCCAAAGCTATGCTGATTAGTCTTGTTGAACAAAGAAAATACAGGCTTTGGCTGGGTATGGTGGCTCATGCCTGTAATCCCAGCACTTTGGGAGGCTGAGGCAGGTGGATCATGAGGTCAGGAGATCGATACCATCCTGGCTAACACGGTGAAACCCCATCTCTACTAAAAATACAAAAAAATTAACTGAGTCTGGTGGCGGGCACCTGTAGTCCCAGCTACTCAGGAGGCTGAGGCAGGAGAATGGCGTGAACCCAGGAGGTAGAGCTTGCAGTGAGCCGAGATTGCACCACTGCACTCCAGCCTGGGCAACAGAGCGAGACTCCGTCTCAAAAAACATATAGGCTTTATGGGAAGGGTTTGTTATGGGGTGTATTGGTTACTGAGGCAGGAGTAGTTTGGAAAATCAGTCATAAAAGCATGGGTTACAGAAGTTCATTTTCTGTTACCTAGATGTGTTTGCTGAAGGAGCTATCACTGATCAATTACAACAGGTTTAAAACAAGCATTGGTGTTTAGTTGGTACCATGCTATAAAAATTTCAGTCTCGGCTGGGCACAGTGGCTCACACCTGTAATCCCAGTACTTTGGGAGGCTGTGGCGGGTGGATCACCTGAGGTCACGAGTTCAAAACCAGCCTGGCCAACATGGTGAAACCCCGTCTCTACCAAAAAATACTAAAATTACCTGGGCATGGTGGTACATGCCTGTAGTCCCAGCAACTCGGGAGGCTGAAGCAGGAGAATCGCTTGAACCCAGGAGGCGGAGGTTGCAGTGAGCCCAGATCACGCCACTGTACTCCAGCCTAGGTGACAGAGTGAGACTCTGTTTAAAAAAAAAAAAAATCAGTCTTTTTCTAGGTTTGTGGGGATTTTTTTTAAATTCTAAAAACGAAGGCCGGTCGCGGTGGCTCACGCCTATAATCCCAGCACTTTGGGAGGCCAAGGTGGGCGGATCATGAGGTCAGGAGATCGAGACCATCCTGGCTAACACAGTGAAACCCCATCTCTACTAAAAACACAAAAAAATTAGCCAGGTGTGGTGGTAGGCGCCTGTAGTCCCAGCTACTTGGGAGGCTGAGGCAGGAGAATGGCGTGAACCCGGGAGGTGGAGCTTGCAGTGAGCTGAGATAGCACCACTGCACTCCAGCCTGGGCAACAGAGTGAGACTCCATCTCAAAAAAAAAAAAAAAAAAAAAAAGTTCCATCTTTTTTTGCTTGGTCTTGATTTTAAAAACTAGAGGAATCTTGCACTGAAAATTTTAATTTCTTTTGACCTATCATAATTTTATATTAAAAGGTCATAATATAGTGTATTAATTTTCTCTTCCGCTGTAACAAATTACCACAAATTTAGTCACTTAACACAATACAAATTTATCATCTTATGATTCAGTATATTAGAAATCTGACACAGGTCTCACTAGACTAAAAACCAAGATACTGGAAGAGCTGAATTCCTTCTTGAGGCTCTAGGGAAGAATCTGTTTCCTTTCTTTTTCCAGCTTCTAGAGGTTACCCACATTCCTTGGCTCACAGCCCCTTTTCTCCTTCTTCAAAGCGAGCAACAAACGTTTCTCTGACCCTACTTCTGTTGTCATATCTCTTTCTCTGACAACCCCTTCGTCCTCCCTCTTTCAGTTGTAAGGACCTTTACAATTACCTTGAGCCTGCCTGGAGGATCAAGGATACTCTTCCTACCTTGAGGGCCTTAATTTAGTCACACCTGCAAAATCCCTCTTGCCATGTAAGTTAACATATTTGCAGGTCACAAGGATTAGGACACGAACATGTTTAGGGGACCTTTATTCTTCCTACCACACGTGGAAATTGAATTTATAAATATATCCGTTAGAATTGCACTTGACCGCTTAAACAAGTAAGGGATCTCTCTGTCTCCTATAGCAGGAAATCTGGGAACGGGAAGCTCAAGGCTGATTGTGATGGCCTCAACAATGCCAGCAAGGAAACTGACCCCTAGTGTCCTGATCACTACCATGCTTAGCAATGACTGCTGAGCCTCAGGCATCCTCACCGGTTCCAGGCAGGAAAAAAGAAATGGAAGAGGCAGTACCAGCAAAATTCAGCTTACATTTTGTTAGCCAGAATTGAGTCATGGGACCACCCCTAGCTACAAGGAAATCTGAGAAGGGAAGTTTTTAGCTTTCCTCCTTCTCTAAAGAAGGAAGGAAAATTGAAATAAGAGTTGGAATGAGTGACAGGTGAGCTAACCTACAGAATTGACTACAAGTAAGTGATTGAACAAACAACTTTAATAATCCAATTATTGAAGGGCAGGACTCAGGTGTAGGAATTTAGTGGACTATTTGCTATACATGTTACTCAATATCTGTTAGTCCTAAGATCAAAATTGATTTTTAAAAAAAAGACTCACAAGTCACAGTTTACTTAGCCTTAAAAGGTACACGGTAAACAATGCACACAGCTAAACAGCAGAGACCTTCTGATGTCTGGCAATGCTGGGTGCAGCTTCCATGCCCCTCCACCACACAGCATGCTCAGCTGCAAGAGGTGAGGCTGAAGCGTGTGCAGAAGACTTGACCTCTGGGCAGCCACCCTTTCCATTCTCTACCTATGTGTAGTCCATGCTTGCTGCATAGCCTCTGGGAGAAAGTGCTAAATCACATGCCTAACAGGGCAGCTGCAACTCATCAATCAGGGGTTTCACAATGAATGCTTCTGTAAGCCAGGGGCAATCTGACCTGCTAACATTCCAAGTTTATCTTGTATCAATACATTCTGGGGAGCAGAGTGGCAAGAAGGTAAATCTAAGGTCATATCCCCAGGGTCCCTGGGTCTGGGGCAAAAGTTTAGACCAGCCAAAAATTCCTTCCTTGGTGGGCTAATATATTTATCTTTCTTTCTTCCTCTTGAATTCAGAGTATCTTTCTTCCTCTTGAATTCAGAGTATCTTTCTTCCTCTTGAATTCAGAATCAATTGAGAGAAATACAGGAGTCAGGATAAGTGAGCATCAAAATATCACCTTAATAAAGTCAACTGGAAGATGTGGCCAAGTGGGCAGGCTCACACTTTCCCCAGACATCCCCGCCTGGTTGCTGGCACAGCTGAACAACACAGGCTTCTCAGCAAAGGCAGGGTCATAGGAAGCAGATCCACTCCCTGTAACACACAGGTCTAGAAAGGTGGAGGAAGGGCTGAGCTCAGTCTGTTCTTACTAACTCACATGTCTGACTGCTCACTCCTATTTCCCTGGGGAGGGGCGAATGAGGAACAGGGAGATACTCAGTGATTCTCAGCCAATCTCACAGTTCAAAGCCACCCAGGGAACCAATGTGCAGTGAGGTAGAAAGCCACTCACCTACCTGAAGTTGCTGCATCTGGAAACATAAGAGATGGAGATACTGTTCTTCCCCATAACTCAGAAGATTCATTTTAACTACGCTCTACTTTTCTCATAAATGGCAAATTTCCTCTGAGATAGTTTCCTTTTTTTATTTTTATTTTTGAGATGGAGTCTTGCTCTGTCGCCCAGGCTGGAGTGCAATGGCACGATCTCAGCTCATTGCAACCTCCGCCTCCTGGGTTCAAGCAGTTCTCCTGCCTCAGCCTCCCGAGTAGCTGGGATTACAGGTGCCTGCCACCACGCCTGGCTAATTTTTTGTATTTTTAGTAGAGAGAGGGTATCATCGTGTTAGCCAGGATGGTCTCCATCTCCTGACCTTGTGATCTGCCCGCCTCAGCCTCCCAAAGTGCTGGGATTACAGGCATGAGCCATCGTGCCCGGCCTTTCAATTCTTTTAATACAAAGCAAATGAAAACACCTGTTTTCAATTTCTTTTACCAGTCAGGCTATCTTTTGGAACCTAAGACAGTTTGCCTCTAGGTTTCTGCTAGCACTCTTGTTTGAGGGCATTCCCTGGAGTCATAAAGGGCAGTTCTTTGGGAAGAAGGGATGGGAAGAAAAAATAATGTCAGTTCATAAAATAATCTTCAGACATTCTTATTTATAAATGCCATCATCAATAGAGTTTTCATTTTTCCTTTGCTCAACAAAAAGCTATCAAGTATCTTGAGTAGCTGTTTTTTGTTTTTTGTTTTAATAGTTATGACAGGGACCAGCACGGTGGCTCAAGCCTGTAATCCCAGCACTTTGGGAGGCTGAGGTGGGCAGATCGCCTGAGGTCGGGAGTTCGAGACCAGCCTGGCCAACATGGAGAAACCCTGTCTCTACTAAAAATACAAAATTTAGCCAGATTTGGTGTTGCATGCCTGTCATCCCAGCTACTTGGGAGGCTAAGGCAGGAGAACTGCTTGAACCCGGTAGGCGGAGGTTGAAATGAGCTGAGATTGTGCCATTGCACTCCAGCCTGGGCGACAGAGCAAGACATCCCAGCTACTTGGGAGTCTGTGGCAGGAGAATTGCTTGACTCGGGAGGCAAAGATTGCAGTAAGCTGAGATCACACCACTGCACTCCAGCCTGGGAGTCGGAGGGAGACTCTGTCCCAGATTTAAAAAAAAAAAAAAAAAAAGGCTATGGTAATGACCTGTCTCCCTCTTGCTTAAGTTTTTTCTTTCTTTCTTTCTTTCTTTCTTTCTTTCTTTCTTTCTTTCTTTCTTTCTTTCTTTCTTTCTTTTTTAATCTATCTTTCTTTCTTTCTCTCTCTCTCTCTCTCTTTATATTTTTATTTTCCAGAGTCTCCAACCCAGGTTGGAGTGCAGTGGTGTGATTATAGCTCACTGCAGCCTCAACCTCCTGGGATCGGGATCAAGGGATGCTCCCACCTCAGCTTCCCGAGGAGCTGGAACTACAGGTGCACACCACCATGCCCAGCTAATTTTTTATTTTTTATAGAGACGGGGGTCTCCCTATGTTGCCCAGGCTAGTCTTCAACTCCTGGGCTCAAGCAATCCTCCAGCCTCAGCTTCCCAAAGCGTTGGGATTACAGATGTAAACCACTGCACCTGGCCTGAGTTTTCAGTAAACCAAATAATTAATGTAATTCTGACTGTATTAGAACCTAAAGCACATTTTCTGGCTATGGGTCCCCAAGCAGAGCAGGAGGCCTGACCAGTTCATGGATTCCCTGCACCGGGTCTGGCAGAAAGTCACAGAACTCGTTGTATTAGGTCTCCCCTCAGGTACTTGAAGATACAGTCTTCATATCTCTTCAATATTCCAGGGGAGGGGACCCTACTTGTTTTCAAGATACTGACTTTTCATGTTAATAGCAATGCTCCCATAGATATTATATTGCATCCCAGAACTTTTCAAATCTGTAGTTCCACCTAAAATTTTATCTAGTGAATTGTTACTTACTGCCTAGGTGCCAACCAGTACAGCAGTGCGTCTTCATCTTACTTAGACTTCAGAGCCTCCCACTGGCTGTAATGGATGAGCATGCACCCAAGCTCCCCTTCCACCACTCTGCTTGCTGGCATATGAGAGTGCTCTCCTCTGCAGGGTCCTGAATCTTGATTCTCATTGGCTACTAATATGTAATGGCTTTTGCTCAGTGCTGTTGTGACAATCACCCTGTTGGCCTTCTGTGTCTAGGAAGAATTACAGTCACTACCCTAACGAGCTCAGAGTCTCAATTTGCAGAAGGCCTGTCATTGAACATAAAATGAATTTTGAGCCATTGAGAAGACTTTCTGCTTTTCTTGAGCCAGTGGTTGAACAGTGTAATCCCAGGTGTGCCTGTAATCCTTGGTCTTTGGGAGGCCAAGGCGAGAGGATCACTTAAGGCCAGGAGTTTGAGACCAGCCTGGGCAACATGGGAAAACCCCATCTCTACCAAAAATACAAAAAAAATTAGCTGGGCGTGGTGGCGCACAGCTGTAGTCCCAGCTATTCAGGAGGCTGAGATGGAAGGATGGTTTGAGCCCAAGAGGCAGACATTGCAGCGAGCTTAGATTGTGTCACTGCACTCCAGTCAGGGCAACAAAGCCAGACCCCGTCTCATAAAAATGGCTGGGCATAGTGGGTCATGCCTATAATCCTAGCACTTTGAGAGACTAAGGCAGGAGGATTGCTTGAGGCCAGTAGTTAGAGACCTGTGTGGCTAACTTAGTGAGACCCTGTCTGTTTTGTTTTTTTTTTTTTTGGAGACAGAGTCTTGCCTTGTCACCCAGGCTGGAGTGCAGCGGTGGGATCTTGGCTCACTGCAACCTTTGCCTCCTGAGTTCAAGTGATTCTCCTGCCTCAGCCTCCTGAGGGGCTGGGACTACAGGTGTATACCACCACTCCCAGCTAATTTTTGTATTTTTAGTAAAGATGGTGTGTCACCATGTTGGCCAGGCTGGTCTTGAACTACTGACCTCAGGGGACCTTCCCACCTTGGCCTCCCAAAGTGTTGGGATTACAGGCATGAGCCACCATGCCCGGCTCCCATCTGTATTTTCAAAAAAAATAAATAAATAAATGACAGTATGGCCTATTCTATTCTATTCTATTCTATTCTATTCTATTCTATTCTATTCATTTGAGACAGGGTCTTGCTCTGTCGCCCAGACTGGAATGCAGTGGCGTGAACATACCTCACTGCAGCCTCAATCTCCTGGGTATAAGTGATCCTCCTATCTCAGCCTCTAGAGTAGCTGGAACTATAGGCATGTCCCACCGTGCCGGGCTAATTTAATTTAAAAACTTTTTTTACACAGACAGGGTCTCGCTATATTTCCCAGGCTGGTCTCAAACTTCTGGGCTAAAGCCTCAGCCTCCCAAAGTGCTGGGATTATAGGAGTGAGCCACTGTACCTGGCTCTATTTTATTTATTTATTTATTTATTTTATTTTATTTATTATTATTTTTTTTTGAGACGGAGTCTGGCTCTGTCATCCAGGCTGGAGTGCAGTGGTGCGATCTCAGCTCACTACAAGCTCCGCCACCCAGGTTCACGCCATTCTGCTGCCTCAGCCTTCCGAGTAGCTGAGACTACAGGCGCCTGCTACCACGCCCAGCTAATTTTTTGTATTTTTAGTACAGACGGGGTTTCACCATGTTGGTCTGGCTGGTCTTGATCTCCTGACCTCGTGATCCTCCTGCCTCGGCCTCCCAAAGTGCTGGGATTACAGACATGAGCCACCGCGCCCGGCCCTGGTTCTATTTTAAATAAATAAATACATGAAACTAAAACACAATTGGAACTTTATTTGCTCTTTGATGACCCTTCATAGCACCTCAATTTCTCATGGCATGCCTCTTGCTTGGTTTACATCATAGAATTTCTGGCATAATAGGCCGGGCATGGTGGCTTACGCCTGTAATCCTAGCACGTTGGGAGGCCAAGGCGGGTGGGTCACCTGAGGTCAGGAGTTCGAGACCAGCCTGGCCAACATGGTGAAACCCCAACTCTACTAAAAATACAAAAATTAGCCAGGAGTGGTGGTGGGCACCTGTAGTCCCAGCTACTTGGGAAGCTGAGGCAGGAGAATTGCTTGAACCTGGGCACAGAGGTTGCAGTAAGCCAAGATCACGCCACTTCACTCCAGCCTGGGCAAAAGGGCGAAACTCCATCTCAAAAAATATAATAATAATTTCTGGCATAATCTCAGAAGATTCGGCCAGGCATAATGGCTCACTCCTGTAATCCCAGCATTTTGGGAGGCCGAGGCAGGCGAATCACTTGAGGTCAGGAGTTCGAGTCCAGCCTGGCCAACATGGTGAAACAATGTCTCAAAAAGAGGGAGACTCTGTCTCAAAAAAAAAAAAAAATCTCAGAAGATTCTTAGAAATTTCTTACCACTGTTAAAAGAAAAAAACTTCAGCTGAGTTAAATGTAAAGAAGTTTAGCTAAACAATGAACAATTTGCGAATAGGGCAACCCCCAGAATCACAGCAGATTCGTAGTGAATCCAGCGTAGCTACCTGGTGGAAGAAGATTTATGGACAGCAAAATGAAAGTGACGAACAGAAAACAGAAGTGAAGTACAGAAACAACTGGATTGGTTACAGCTTGGCATTTGCCTTACTTGAACACAGTTTGAACATTTGGCTACATTTGATTGGCCAAAACTCAGTGATTGGCACGGATGTGGGCTGTATACCTCCACTTTTTACAGTTCATGATGTACAGAAAAACCTGTAGGCCAAACTTAAACATGTGAGAAGGCAGCTTTAAGCTAAACTTGATTTAAACCCACCTTGTCTCAGTTCTCCTGGTTTCCAAATTATCTTCTGGCCTCATTTTCTTCCCTAGCTCAGAAATATAGTGACTATCCATCACTATTTCCAGCATTAACGCCTTCAAATCTCTTAGTCTTCTGTTTCACTTGTGCTATAATCATCCAGACGACAACAGACCTAGCTAAAGAACATATAACATTAGGTTTCACATCTGACAAATATGTGATCTGCAGTGGACATATGCTCATTTTTGCTCACCATTATCCAGCCTCCTTTCTTTGGCAAAACCATCTTAATCTGCACCATGCTGTATTCCAGTCTTGGAGGCAGCTCCCCAACTAAGAATATGCCTCTAGCTAAGCCAGACAGTGTCTCCCCACCATCCCCTCTCTCTGGAATTGGACTCTGGGGTGGAGTGATCCAAAGATATTAAGCAATATACAGGCAGCTATGTCCTAAATAATCAATCTATTCATTTCTACTACTGAGGCCTGTGAAATGCTTTGGTTTTGTTTTTTACATATTGGTTCATTAACCTCCCCCTTTGTTTTGCCCCTCTTGTTTCCACATATTTTTCCAATGAAATCCCTTTTATCTTGTGATAAAAGTGATTTGCTGTTGTTTGCAACTACAAAACCCTAACTAGCGGTGGCAGCTTGTATTAGTGATTTAAATCCTGCATAATCAGGAAAATTATATTTACATATTAAGATGTCATGAGGAGCAAATGTGAAAAGAAACTCAAGGGGTCTAGTATGCAATAGCCACAATAAATCCATGCCCTCTAAAATCAGGTGAACCTCCAACACA
Source organism: Homo sapiens (assembly GCF_000001405.40). NCBI lineage: Eukaryota > Metazoa > Chordata > Mammalia > Primates > Hominidae > Homo > Homo sapiens. The sequence goes on from NC_000012.12 coordinate 31,779,816, forward strand.
GCTTGGCAGTCTTTTTATTTGGTCTGGGCCATCTGCTTCACCAAATCCCCTCGGAGGGTTTTACAAACATTTACAATTTTCTTCAGGCTGCCCACTCTATCTCTACCTCAATCTCAACAGCCTGTCTGGAATGTTACAGGTGAACATCAAGGAGATAGAGATACCATGTTTGCAGAATCTCAGAAGGCTTTTTTGATCTTGTGATTCATGCCAGGGTCATGATGTCTTAAAACTAGGTTTGCAAGAATACACTTTTGAAAAAACACATTAGGACATTGATTAGAATCGCCTTACCAATACCTGCATCCTATAAGTGTTTTGCAATACTCAGAGTGGCTCAGTGGAGTGAGTGAGGTTGTAATCCGAGCTGCTACTGAAATTCTTCTTTATAATTTGATAGTGTTGGACTTGAAGGTCCCATCTGGTTACACAGTAATTTACCACTTTACTGTGGGTTCTGGTACGCCAAAGAAGGCAGTACTCTCCAGTCTTTGTTTAAACAACTCTAGGATCAGAATGTTCCTGGTTTGTCCTGGTACCAGAGACACTGTTTGAAATTGTTTGTGTCTTCTTTTCAGTCAATCATTCAAACGTTCAAACATCGAGATTACATGCATCTACAAAAAATGTATGTATGTCTTAATTATGAAAGCATTCTCAACATACCAAACTACAAACATATCAGCCATAAATTTCTGCAATCTCAATATATATAAAGTAGCACTATGAGATGAAAGAATGTTGATCAACTTGAAAAGATAGTTTTGGGGTATCCAGAACCAAAGCCTCCAACCTTTCTCATTGATTTCTGGATAAGGAGGCCTCCTTTATGTATTTTTTCTTTTTACCCTCTTTCTTTCCCTTCCTTCCTCCCTGCCTTTATAAAGCTACCTAAACAATCTAGGACTAGCATTAAGTTTGTTGGACATGGCATTTTTCTCAGTACAAATATTTCAATTTTTCTTCCTGTTTAAAAATTAATTTTATTATATTTATTTTTAAATTTATTTATTTATCTATTTGAGATGGATTCTCGCTCTGTTGCCCAGGCTGGAGTGCAGTGGTGCAATCTCGGCTCACTACAACCTCCACCTCCTGGGTTCAAGCTATTCTCCTGCCTCAGCCTCCCGAGTAATTGGGATTACAGGTGTAAACCACCATGTCTGGCTAATATTTTGTATTTTTAGTAGAAATGGGGGGGTCTCACCATGTTGGCCAAGCTGGTCTTGAGCTCCTGACCTCAAGTGATCCGCCTGCCTTGGCTTCCCAAAGTGCTGGGATTACAGGTGTGAGCCACCATGGCTGTCCCCTGAATTTTTTTTTTTTTTTTTTTTTGAGACGAAGTCTCGCTCTTGTCCCCTAGGCTGGAGCATAATGGCGCGATCTCGGCTCACTGCAATCTCCACCTCCTGGGTTCAAGCGATTCTCCTGTCTCAGCCTCCCCAAGTAGCTGGGATTACAGGCACCTGACACCACGCCTGGCTAATTTTTGTATTTTTAGTAGAGACGGGGTTTCACCATGTTGGCCAGGTTGGTCTCAAACTCCTGACCTCAGGTGATCCGCCTGCCTCGGACTCCCAAAGTGCTGGGATTACACGCCTGAGCCACCGCGTCAGGCCGAAAATTTTTAACGTTTAGAAACCCACGTTTCTAGCAGAGCGTGGTGGCACACATCTGTAGTCCCAGCACTTTGACTGGGTGAGGCTGGTGGATCGCTTGAGCCCAAGAGCTTGATACCAACCTGGGCAATACAGTGAGACCTCACCTCTATAGTTGAAAGAAAGAAAAAAAGAAGGGCAGGGTAGGGCAGCGGAGGGGAGGGGAGGGGAAGGCAGGGGAGGGGAGGGATGTTTCCTTGGATGAAATGTGTTTCTTCTTGTGGTCCCCGACCAGTTTTAAACTTTAGAACTGTGGCACTACTAACTGGCTTCTAGGCAGCCTCTTCCACTTAGATGGGTTTGAAGTACAGAAATGATTTCATCAGCCTGACCATTGAGGCTCTAGAGATTCAAGCATGTGGAGAAGTTCTGAGTGCTCAATCTCAATGCCAATCATTTCACTGGTGAAAATAAGGTTCATAGCTTGAATAAGAGGAAACATCTATCCACCTGACATCAGGTTTTGTTCCTGATTAAGGATACATTTTGATACTGGAGTGCTGGAAAGGGAAGATTGTGGTCCCTTTAAACAATACAAAAGGGAGGAAGGGAAGTGCTGGATAGAGAAAGGTGTGGTCCCTGCCTAGGGCTCCACCCCCACGGACCTAGGTGAGGACAGGCATTTCCGGCCCAAATGTTGCATTTCCCAAGACCATCCTGGCCTGCCACGCCCCCATCCTGGGCCTGTAAAAACCAGAGACCCTGGCAGGCAGACACAGTGGCTGGACATTGTGAGGAAGGCGTTGGTGGAAGAAGATGCAAGTGGCTGGTCGTTGAAAGGAGCACACCAGGAGAAAAGCATATCAGCAGGCACCAGCATACCAGCAGGCACCAGCACGTCGGCAGGCCATCGACTGGTGGGACGCCACCGGCAGGCGGGAGGAGGTGCAGTTTGGCCGGGACAGTCGGAGGAGAGCCAGGGCTGCCCAGTGGCCCAACTCCAGGGGAAGACTATCTCCCTTCTGGCTCCTCCATCGGCTGAGAGCTGCTCCCGCTCAGTAAAACTTTGCACTCATTTTCCAAGTCCACGTGTGATCCGAGTCTTCCACTACACCAAGGCAAGAACCCGGGATACAGAAAGCTCTCTGTCCTTGCAACAAGGTAGAGGGTCTAATTGAGCTGGTTAACACAAGACGGTAAACTAAAAGCATCCTGTAACATGCCCACTGGGGCTTCAGGAGCCGTAAACATTCACCCCTAGACACTGCCGTGGGGTCGGAGCCCCACAGCCTGCCTGTCTGTATGCTCCCCTAGAGGTCTGAGCAGCCAGGCACTGAAGAAGTGAGCCACACCCCCATTGCATGCTCTGCGAGGGGGACAGGGAAACTTTACCGCTTCAATATCGACTTGCAAGTGAAAACAGTTTCTGATATTGTATGTGTATGAGCAGGCTACTGCTGCATGTAGCTTGTGATTGGGCCTAATGATGTTATTCCATAATTATAATATTTAGTGCATAATTATTGCATTATATGCAAATGTTGTACTGCATTATGAACTCTTGCTCACAGCACAGTTACATCATAGAAATGTGGGGACAATAGCTGCAGGATGTAGAGTGTCTATGCTAGAGACACCCTGGGGGACACAGCTCTTAGAACTTGGTTTCATAACATTGGTTTAGGAGAAATTTAGGTCTGAAATCTAGAGCATTCCAGGGAGGAGTTGGTCTTGAACAATTTGCGTAGGAGTGGATTTGGTAAGGTTCTGAGTCTTGGGATAGGCACCATGAAGTATCTGAAGAAGGTGCTGGCAGACAGAAGTGGATTATGAGGCTGGGCGCAGCTCTTTTATATTTTCTGCATAAACTGGTAATTAGGGTGAGCCTTCTGCTTTTATGATGAGCTAAAACTATAAATAATGGTTTGGTGCACATATCAGTGGCGTCCTCTGAAAAAAAAGGGAAACTTTTGCTGTTTCCACATTCCATCTTGCCTTTGCCCTAGGGATTGTACCAAATAGATGCAACTCATTTTGGAGTTACATACTTTTTAAAATATTTGTTCGTTTATTTATTTGTAGAGATGGAGTCACCCTCTGTTGCCCAGACTGGTCTGGAACTCCTGGCCCGAAGTGATCCTCCCACCTCAGCCTCCAAAAGTGTTAGGATTATAGGGATGAGCCACCACATCCGGCCTGGAATACTGTTATTAAAAAATGTTTCTATTCCTAATCAAAAGCTCCCAGAAGTAATCAATCCCCTCAAACAGAACCAACACAGCTATCAGTTGGGAAACCTGTGGGACTTTCAGACTCTTGAGCAAGGAATTGGATATAATAATGGAACTAAAAAAAGAGAACAAATCTAGGAATTTGCATTTTGAAGTCATCAGCATACAGATGGCAGCTAAGGGCAATGACATAGAAAAAGAAAGGGAGAGTGTTTAGAATAAGAAAAAAGAGATGAGGACTAAATTGTCAAAAATACCAACATTTATAGAGAGCTAAAGGAAGAAGGTCAGCAGTGGATAAAAGCCAGGGAAGAATGGTGTCACACTAGTCAAGGCAAAAGAGAGTCAAGGAAAACAAGAAGTATAGAGTGAAACCTCAGAATATAGTTTCAGAGTATCCAGAACCAAGATAGGAGAACTAGTAAAGAGGAATTAGTTAAACTGTAAGAGCAAGAGGGTAATGGATGCAGCAAAGTTCCTGAAGAGATGGGAGAAGATCATAAAGAATACAAGGGAAGTTTGGTAGTCAGCCTCCAAGATGGCCACCAATGATCCTTCCTCCTGGTAGTCATGCCCTTTTGTCAGCCCCTCCCACAATGGTCTGAGTGACTAATTGAATGTGGCAGAAATGGCACTATGTCATTTCTGAGATTAGGTTATAAAATATACTGTGGCTTCTGTCTTGGTGACTTTCGCTTGCTTTCTCTCTCTTCCCTGATCATTTGCTCTGGGGGAAGCCAGCTGCCATCTGTGGGGAAGCACATATGGTGAGGAACTAAGGCTTCTTGCCAACAACCGTGTGAGGGAGCTTGGAAGGGAATCCTCCAGTTCAGTTAAGCCTTCAGACAATGGCAGCCCTGGTTGACATCTGGCTGTAACTCTCATGAGACATTCTGAGCCAGAACCACTCTGCCATGTTGCTCCCAGATTCCTCAAATCCGAAATGGTGTGAGGTAATAGACATTTGTTGTTTTAAGCTGTGAAGTCTGGGTAATTTGTTATATAGAAATAGATAATACAGGAGGGATTGGCTTTGAACAGGAAGGTAGACTGCTTCCTCTGAGAAGTTACCATGTAGGGTCATTTTTGTAAAATCTTGTTCTTCAAGTTTACCCTTTATTGCTTAGGCTTGGTATCTTAAAATATTTCAAATTCTAAGTTACAACTAGACTTAAGCCATTTTTATTGCTCATCAAAAAATATTTTAGGCTGGATGTAGTGGCTCACGCCTAACATCCCAGCACTTAGGGAGGCTGAGGTGGAAGGATTGCTTGAGGCCAGGAGTTCAAGACTAGCCTGGGCAACATAGCAAAATTCCCTCTCTCCAAAATACATATATTTATTTAAATATATGTCTTTAAATAAATATATGTTTACATGAATGTATATATTTATATATAAATACATATATAAAATTAGAATTTCCTACTTTTTGTAACATCCTCAAAGTTGGCTATAATACCTATTTTCTTAGCTGATATCCATTTAATCATTCATTTGATAAATATTTATTGTATGTGACATTAGTATTAACTTTATAGAAAGCAATGCTGCTTTTAAAGTGATTAGTAGGGTGATAAATGAGCTATTTGCTAGTATATCCAAGTTATCTAGTAAGAAGGGTTTACTGAGCAAAGAAGTATGGGTAATAGCATAAAAGTATAAACAAATACCCAAACAGTATACATGAGAAGTTAATCATCTTGTCAGAAGAAAATGATACATACAAAAAACCCAAGCATGTGTGAAGAACAGTGTGAGAATGTATCCAGCCAAAATTATATTCAAAGTAAAAATCATGTGTGCATGACGAACTGTATAGCATGAGTTAAAACAAATGAATACCCCTGATCACAGAACAATGAGAAATTCCTGCAGCAAGTGAGCATAACTGCCAAATAGGATAATATAAAAGAAGTATGAAGGGAAAACTAATTTTGAGCCTGTAACCATGTGGAACTGAAGCTAATTCTTCAAGTTCTGCTTCAGGTTATCAGGAACTGTGCTCCCGTAATTTAACCATTTATGATAAGTACAAGATTTTCACACAGAAAAAATTATTCTGCTGGTGGAATGTGAACTATTACATCAAACTTGTAAAATTTTCTATAATTTTCATTATTTATCTCAGACTTTGACTCTTGTATTCTTTTGAAGAAGGACTTGTGTGGAAACCATGGTGCAAAGTTTAAAATACCAAATGCGCGTTAAAGAAATTAGAGTTGTTAGCTACCTTCTGTTCTCCTTTGTTGTATTTTGGGTTTTACTGGGTACTGGAGCCGCTGTACCACATTGATAGCCTGAGGTTTGACCAGGTCATGGGGCTGGACAAAGGTGGTGAGTTGATGAACAGATCCAGCTGTCAGCACAGCAAGGAGATCCAATCCTGTGGGCCAAGGACAGTCCTCATGGTTTTCAATTAATCGTGTGTAAGAAAAATTGTACTACTTGAAAGACCTTGATTTAAATTCTTGCTTTACCATTTGATAACTCTGTGATACTGAGCAAGAGACTTTACCTCTGTGAGCCTTAATGTCTTCTCCACAAAATAGAGCTGAAAAAAATCTGCTGTAATTACATCCTGTTTTTCTTCTTAAAGGTCAAATGAGCCTGGCATCAAATATATGTGAAGCCATTTTTTTTTTTTAGATGGAGTTTCACTCTTGTCCAGGCTGGAGTGCAATGGCACGATCTTGGCTTACTGCAATCTCCACCTCCCTGGTTCAAGCAATTCTTCTGCCTCAGCCTCCCGAATATCTGGGATTACAGGCATGCGCCATCATGTCCAGCTAATTTTGTATTTTTAGTAGATGCAGGGTTTCACCATGTTGGTCAGCCTGGTCTCGAACTCCTGACCTCAGGTGATCCACTCGCCTCAGCCTCCCAAAGTGCTGGGATTATAGGCATGAGCCACTGTGCCAGGCCTATGTGAAGCCATCTTTTAAAACTTTACACTGCTATAAGCAGAATTTTTTCTTTTTTCTTTTCTTTTTTTTTTTCTTTTTTGAGACAGAGTCTCACTCTCACCCAAGCTGGAGTGCAGTGGCGCGATCTTGGCTCACTGCAACCTCTGCCTCCTTTTCAAGTGATTCTCATGTCTCAGCCTCCGCCGCCTGGGTTCACGCCATTCTCCCGCCTCAGCCTCCCGAGTAGCTGGGATTACAGGCATGCACCACCACACCCAGCTAATTTTTATATTTTAGTAGAGATGGGATTTCACCATGTTGGCTAGGCTGATCTGGAACTCCTGACCTCAGATGATCCAATCACCTCAGCCTCCTAAAGTGCTGGGATTACAGATGTGAGCCACCATGCCCGGCCTTAAACAGAATAATACTGTTATCATTCCGTTTTGCTTAAATCTTTATGTTCTTGGCAAAAGCTTAGATAGGCTTTAAGCTATGAATACAACTTGGGAAGGGCTAACAGCTAATTCCAAAAAAAGAGGCCGGGCGCAGTGGCTCACACCTGTAATCCCAGCGTCTTGGGAAGCCGAGGAGGGTAGATCACGAGATCAGAAGTTCAAGACCAGCCTGGCAGAGATGGTGAAACCCCATCTCTACTAAAAATACAAAAATTAGCTGGGCATGGTGGCAGGTGCCTGTAATCCCAGCTACTTGGGAGGCTGAGGCACAGAATTGCTTGAACCCGGGGGGTGGAGGTTGCAGTGAGCCAAGATCACGCCACTGCACTCCAGCCTGGGCGACAGAGCGAGACTCCATCTCAAAAAAAAAAAAAAAGGAAAACCATCTTTTCTAAAAATCATTAAAACAATTGAAGTTAGTTTTTGAATAAGAAAATAATGCCTAAAACAAATCTGTATCACTAGGCAACATTAAATCTTTATCTCCTCGAGATTACAAGGACTTTCTATTTAGTACACAAGGACCAATTTTTCCAAAACCAAAAAGCCAAGCCTGTTAGCACTTACTGTCACAAATGGTTACCACAAAAACAAAATAATGAAGGTTGAATTTATGGTTTCTGTAAAAGGGAAGCCTCTAGGATCTTTAAAAGTATTTTTTTCTATTTTTAAATATAACATTCATTGTAGAAAGTTTGGAAACATAGTACAAGGAAGAAAATTTTTATAACTTACAATCACATTGCTGAGGATAACATTTTGTTAATGTTTTTGCATAGTTTTTTTTCCAATTTTTGTCTTCCTCTTGTCTGCTTTTTTCTCACATTTTTTTTATTATGAGCAGTGCCATAGCATTACATAAGCTTTTTTCTTTTCTTTTTTTTTTTTTGAGACAGAGTCTCACTCTGTCACCCAGTCTGGAGTGCAGTGGCACAATCTCGGCTCACTGCAAGCTCCGCCGCCTGGGTTCACGCCATTCTCCCGCCTCAGCCTCCCGAGTAGCTGGGACTACAGGTGCCCGCCACCACATCCGGCTAATTTTTTGTATTTTTAGTAGAGATGGGATTTCACTGTGTTAGCCAGGATGGTCCCGATCTCCTGACCTCATGATCCGCCCACCTCGGCCTCCCAAAGTGCTGGGATTACAGAGGTGAGCCACTGCTCCCAGCGCTTTTTTCTTTTTTTTTAAGATGGTGTCTCACTTTATTGCCCAGGCTGGAGTGTAGTGGCTCGATCTCTGCTCACTGCAGCCTCTGCCTCCCAGGTTCAAGTGATTCTCCTGCCTCAGCCTCCCCAGTAGCTAGGATTACAGGCGCCCACTACCAAGCCTGGCTAATTTTTGTATTTTTAGTAGAGATAAGGTTTCGCCATGTTGGCCAGGTTGGTCTCGAACTCCTGACCTCAAGTGATCCGCCTGCCTCAGCCTCCCAACATGCGTGAGCCACCGTGCCCGGCCAGCATTACATAAGCTTTCAAAACATGATTTTTACTATCCTATCCTAAAAGTTTTTTTTTTTTTTTTTTTTTTTTGAGACTGAGTCTCACTCTGTTGACCAGGCTGGAGTGCAGTGGTGCGATCTTGGCTCACTACAAGCTCCGCCTCATGAGTTCACACCATTCTACTGCCTTGGCCTCCCGAGTAGCTGGGACTACAGGCATCCGCCACCACGCCCAGCTGATTTTTTGTGTTTTTGGTAGAGACGGGGTTTCACCATGTTAGCCAGGATGGTCTCCATCTCCTGACCTCATGATCTGCCTGCCTCGGCCTCCCAAAGTGCCGGGATTACAGGCGTGAGCCACCACACCCGGTCAAAAGATTATTTTTTAATCTGAAATTATTTCCAAGGTAAATATTTTTCTTCCAGGTATTTTCCTAAGGACCCAAGTTCAAAACCTTGCATTACTCTGGTCTCCCTTTCTTTTTTTTTTTTTTTTGTCTTATGAGAAATCAAGTCTGAATTGATTTGGTTCAGAATCAAACCTGAATCTGATCACTAAATTCTACTAATTCTTTTCTTTCTATGTCTATCCACATAGTTCTGGCCCGGCCAGGCCCCTGTTTCCTCAGCCCAGATTATTGAAGTACTTTTCTGACTTTTTTATTTCTTTGTAGCCTCTTTTCTCTATGGTAATCTATTTTACATATCTCTTTGCATCATTACCTTGACAAAAATATTGACTGCCTCTACCTTATATGGCAGAGGTCCCAAACTTGAGCTCCAAGGCTGAACATAGTCTGCAAATTTGTTTTTCTACAACTCCACAGTGCTCTGACCATTATTTTTAAATTTGCTGGAATCCTTTCAAAGGGCCCCAGGTTTCACTGATTTGTGTTACCTGCCTGGCGTCTAGGCTTCCAGGTATGGCTGAGTAGACTTTGCTTTTTTTTTTTTTTTTTTTTCTGAGACAGAGTCTTGCTCTGTCTCCCAGGCTGGAGTGCAATGGCACGATCTCGGCTCACTGCAACCTCCACCTCCTGGGTTCAAACGATTCTCCTGCCTCAGCCTCCTGAGTAGCTGGGATGACAGGCGCATGCCACCACGCCCAGCTAATTTTTGTATTTTAGTAGAGATGGGGTTTCACCATGTTGGCCAGGCTGGTCTCGAACTCCTGACCTTGTGATCTGCCTGCCTCGGCCTCCCAAAGTGCTGGGATTGCAGGCGAGAGCCACCACGTCCAGCCGACTTTGCATTTTATAACTCCAGAGGGCACTGTGCACATAACATAAAAAGTTGTGCAGTGCACAGCCTATACAATCTGCACAACTCTACCTGGTGGCCCTATGGGAGCCTATGGCCATTTAGTGTGAACTCTAGTCTGTAAAACGAATATCATGCCCACTATATCGACTAATCAAGCCCATCCTGTACCATAGTCTGGAAAAGGCTGACATTCCTAAAAGCTTTGCACTCTAAGATAAGCCACGAAAACCAGAAATATTTCAAAAGCTTTGAATTCCAAGATAAGCCGTGAAGTTATTTTTTATGCAAAAGACAGAAACATACTGTTTTTCTTTTTATCAAGACTGACCCCAAAGTTATCCAATCAGAATTGTTGACTAATATATAACAATCTGAGCTATCTCCTGACTTTGTGATTTTTTTTTTTTTTAGACAGTCTTGCTCTTGACACCCAGGCTGGAGTGCAATGGTGCGATTTCGGCTCACTGCAACCTCCACTTCCTGGGTTCAGGCAATTCTCCTGCCTCAGCCTTGACAGTAGCTGGGATTACAGGCGCCCACCACCACATCCAGCTAATTTTTGTATTTTTAATAGAGACGGGATTTCACCATGTTATAGTTCAAATACTTTTTTAAAAATTAGATGTGCTAGTTCTGTACTAACTTGTCTTTTTTTGCAAGTTAAAATGCTAGTCAGTTCTCAAATTTGTCTGTGAATTTTGCAGGATAGAGTATAAAATTCCTTAAATCCTAATTCCAAGCTCTTTACAATGTGGGCCCTACATCCCTAAAGTTTTCTCCTTTGCGTAAATACTACACTTGAGACAAACTAATTGTTTTCCCCCAACATAAACTTTATAGTTCTCTTCTGTTGCATTTCTACTCTCCAATATTTCTGATTCTTTTCCTCTCTTTTTTTTTTTTTGGATAAACAAGTTTATTTGTAAATTTAGTCAACATACATAATTGACCTAAAAACTTCAATAAGATAAATTTTAAAACCACTTGGAAGGCCATCTCTATAAAAATGATTTTCCCAGGACAGTAACCAGATGTAACCTAACCTAACACCATCTTAACCGGCAGAGGTTCAGTGGGCTAGAGCTTTGTGCTCCTCCCCTACACCAAGTTTTTATAATACAAATGCCACAAGAAAAAGAACTTCAGTACTGTTTCCTCTTAGCAGAGGAGAAAACTCAACCTAGTTATGAGACCAACCACACAACACAATGAAAAGCTGCACTAGTTCAGAATATTAGTTAACAGATGATGCTGGTGTGAATAACTCATATTTTTTTCTAGAGCCCTTATAAATAAAATCCCCCAGTTAGTGTTTCCATTATCAGCTAGAGGGTTAGTTAACATGTGGTAGAATGAGGATTTATGCAAGGTATAAATGCACATAGCATTTTACTACTATGAGAACAAGTGCAGTCAGAAGAAAACCAACTGGACTCTAAATTACACACACCTTAATGACAAGACTCCCCACCACTTGTGAATGTAAAACATTTAATTTGAAAATGTTGACACTACAATATATAAAATAGCTATTATAAATGCACATATTGTATTCTATAGCTGCCAGGTTTAATTTTTTTTTTTTAAAGGAAACTATAAGTTACACTGTGGTTAAGGTTTGTATCTTCACCCTTGAAAAAGCCTACATTCTATCACAGTGATGTATGGTCAGACTTAACAGCCCCAATTGTTAAACACTTGGATCAAGTCATAACCAGTTTTATTGCAAAAGGACCCTGTTGTACACATTTATCAATTCTAGTACCTTAATAGCTACCCAACAAGTCATTAACATACAGAAACATGCATCATGAGAAGCAAGAAATATCACGCATCCGTTTTGCATATTAACAACTTGTCACTCCTGAGCAACAGTGCTGACATCACTGAGGTCTGTAAACAGTCACTTTTCGCATTCATCCTGAGTGAAAGATGGAATGACTTAAGTACAAATGCAACATATAAACAATTTCTTACAAAAAAAGTCACCAATTAAACCAAAGTATTTTACAGAATTTACTACAAAATGCCATAAAAACTGCCTTCACTTAAGCTCTCTCTCCCCGTATCCGGCGAGCCAACTGGATGTCTTTGGGCATGATGGTGACTCTCTTAGCGTGGATGGCACACAGGTTAGTATCTTCCAACAGACCCACCAGGTACGCTTCGCTAGCCTCCTGCAGCGCACCGACGGCTGCGCTCTGAAACCTCAGGTCAGTGTTGAAATCCTGCGCGATCTCCCTCACCAACCTCTGGAAGGGCAGCTTCCGGATGAGCAGCTCGGTCGACTTCTGATAACGACGAATCTCTCGAAGCGCCACGGTCCCAGGCCTGTAGCGATGAGGCTTCACCCCGCAGGTAGAGGGGGTGCTTTTCCTGGCAGCTTTCGTGGCCAGCTGTTTGCGGGGGGCTTTCCCACCGGTGGATTTACGAGCAGTCTGCTTGGTTCGGGCCATTTTCTTTCACCCAACGCCGAAGTTTTAGGCCACTTCTCCGACCTCCGCGCTGCTTCCGCTGCCCGAGGAAGAGCCGCAGTCGCGAGCGAAGAACCGACACTGGTCCAACGAACGACCAAACCGCTCTGCGCCCTCCTCTCTTTTATCTGCATCCCTTCCATTCTTCAAAGCCCATTTCGGTGTTTCGTTTTTTGTTGTTGTTTTGTTTTTTGAGACGGAGTCTCGCTTTGTTGCCCAGGCTGGAGTGCAGTGGCGTGATTTCGGTTCACTACAACCTCCACCTCCCAGGTTCGAGCGATTCTCCTGCCTCAGCCTCCAGAGTAGCTGGGATTACAGGCGCCTGCCACCACACCTGGTTAATTTTTGTATTTTTAGTAGAGACGGAGTTTCACCATGTTGGCCAGGCTGGTCTCAAACTCCTGACCTCAGGTGATCCGCCCGCCGCAGCCTCCCAAATTACTGGGATTACAGGTGTGAGCCACTGCACCCGGCCTTTCAAAGCTCATTTCAATCCCACCTCCGTCACAAAGCATTCTTCAGCCACCTTCGTTTTCATCCTTTTTTTCTCTGCACTCTTTCTACCCTTATCATTTACTTGACACTATGCAAATTCTACATGTATATGTATTTCTCATTTATTTTTAGTAATTATCTTTTTTCTTATTATAAAAGTAATACTTGTCCAATTTAAAATACAAAAAATATAGAGAAACAAACTGAAATGTGGAATCACATGTGATAAACACACACACAAGTTGGCTGAATATCTGTTACTCTTGGAATGGGGAAAGAATCATCTAGTCATCTGCCAAGAGGTATAAACCTAAAGTTTAGAAACAGAAATCTGACTTTTAAATGTTACAGTTCTATATGATATTTGTTCCATGGAGTAAATCATAAAGTTTCTCTCTCTCTCTCTCTTTTTTTTTTTTTTTTTTGTTTTTTGGGAGATGGAGTTTCACTGTCCTCACCCAGGCTGGAGTGCAATGGCACGATCTCGTCTCGCTGAAACCTCCACCTCCCAGGTTCAAGCAATTCTCCTGTCTCAGCCTCCCAAGTAGCTGGGATTACAGGTGCCTGCCACCACACCTGGCTAATTTTTGTATTTTTAGTAGAGACGGGGGTTTTACCATTTTCGCCAGGCTGGTCTCGAACTCCTGACGTGAAGTGATCCACCCACTTCAGCCTCCCAAAGTGCTGGGATTACAGGAGTGAGCCACCGTGCCTGGCCACAAAGTATCTCTTTTGTCAGGTGAGTTTTTTAACTTCTAGAAATATGCCACAAAGTGAGCCAGGTGTGGTGGCTCCGCCTGTAATGGTAGCACTGGGAGGCCGAGGCAGGTGGATCACGAGGTCAGGAGTTTGAGACGAGCCTGGCCAACATGGCAAAACCTGTCTCTACTAAAAATACAAAAATTAGCCAAGCGTGGTGGCATACGCCTGTAGTCCCAGCTACTCGGGAGGCTGAGGCAGGAGACTTGCTTGAACCTAGGAGGCAAATGTTGCAATGAGCCCAGATTGCACTACTGCACTCCAGCCAGGGTAACAGAGTGAGACTTTGCCTCCAAAAATAAAAAAATAAAATAACGAAAAGCTATTGGATTGACCATTGATACTTTCCACATCTGAAGAAATCTACCTTATTTTCAAAAGGGCAAAAAAAGGAAGGGTTCCCCGCCCCAGGTTAAAATATAGTAAAATCTCTGAGTAATTCATAACAAATAAAGCACCTTCACACTACCATAAATCTCTACACTGTGTTCCAATCTGTTGAGTGCCTGAATCCAATGACAGCTTTGGACGTCCCCTTCCCCCATAATCTCTGTGCAGACCCTCAACCTCACCCCAGATGCCTTTGGAGTTTTCATTCTTTATTATAAGCAATTGATAGTTTCTCAGACTTTTATATACAGCGTAAAGAAAATCCGTACCCAGCCGGGCGGTGGCTCACGCCTGTAATCCCAGCACTTTGGGAGGCCGAGGCGGGCGGATCACGAGGTCAGGAGATGGAGACCATCCTGGCTAACACGGTGAAACGCCGTCTCTACTAAAAATACAAAAAAAAATAGGTGGGCATGGTAGCAGGCGCCTGTGGTCCCAGCTACTCGGGAGGCTGAGGCAGGAGAATGACGTGAACCCGGGAGGCGGAGCTTGCAGTGAGCGGAGATCGCGCCACTGCACTTCAGCCTGGGCGACTGAGCGAGACTCCTCCAAAAACAAAAACAAAAACAAACAAAAAAAAGAAAATCCGTACCCTTACTACTACACTAGGGGCACAAGGCGGGGAAGAGACTCAAACAATAAGAGCTACTACTGTTTGCTGAACACTTATGTACTGAGTACATTCCATCCTCAGAATCAACCTTAAACTGTTAACATCCTCATTTTACAGATGAGGAAAATGAGGCTCAGAAGAGTTAACTAACCTAAGAGACCCTGAAGTCCTAGCATTTTCCACATGGAACATTTTCCCCTGCAGGTCCCCTTTGCCTGTAGTTGTTCCTTCCACCTCTTCCTGTGCAGGATCTTAGCCCCTAACTGTTCCTCCTGTCCAGGCTGATCAATCCAAAGTGCCCAAACAGTGGCTGCTCATCTGCAACAACAATTCCTCCCTCTTTCAAGAATCTCTTTGACCAACTCTTCCCCAAACTAGCCGCATTCTGGCTGACAGTCCCCTCTCCCACTCCAGCTGAAGTTCGATAAAATTCTTGCCGTTTCTTCCCCCAAGACAGGCCGTTTTTTAGCTCCTTCTCAGGCCTGACATTTTGAATAATGTCTATGCTAATGGAGATTCAGACCCTGATCTCTTCACTGCCGTACTATACTGGTAGTTTTCAAATTTAAAAGTCACTGGTTGAATTGTTTGTTTGCAACTTGAAATGTCCTCTCTCATAGAAGTGATACCATGGTCTGAAGCCAGCCTTTTCAGCTGTTATAATCATCCTGAAGCTGCCTAAGTGGAGGAAATAAGGCAGTAATGAAATAAAAGATTGGATTTAAGTGAATGAAAGAAACAGGTTTTGGTAGAGTGACCATATAATTTACTATCCAACCAGGATACTCCGGGGAGTGAAAAGGTGCTATTAATAATTACACCAGGACAATAGGCAGGCATAAACTGAGGCTGTCCTGGACACATCAGGACATATGTTCACTCTAGGTGTCGGTCACATCAGAATGGCTTTGAGCAATTCACCCTAACCTCCTTGAGCCTCAATTTCTTCTTCTTCTTCTTCTTTTCTTTTTTTTTTTTTTGAGACAGGGTCTCATTCTGTCACTCAGGCTAAAGTGCAATGGTGTGATCTCGGCTCACTGCAGCAGCCCCAAACTCCTGGGCTCAAGCAAT
Source organism: Homo sapiens (assembly GCF_000001405.40). Classification (NCBI taxonomy): domain Eukaryota; kingdom Metazoa; phylum Chordata; class Mammalia; order Primates; family Hominidae; genus Homo; species Homo sapiens. The sequence continues at coordinate 31,795,513 of NC_000012.12, forward strand.
CCTCCTGCCTCAGTGTCCCTTGTACCTGGGACTAGAATCGCCCCACCAAGCCCAACTAATTAAAAACAATTTTTTTTTTTTGAGATGGAGTCTCGCTCTGTTGCCCAGGCTGGAGTGTGGTGGTGCAATCTTGGCTCACTGCAAGCTCCGCGTCCCGGGTTCATGCCATTCTCCTACCTCAGCCTCCTGCGTAGCTGGGACTACAGGTGCCCGCCACCATGCCCGGCTAGTTTTCTGTATTTTTAGTAGAGACGGGGTTTCACCATGTTAGCCAGGATGGTCTCGATCTCCTGACCTCGTGATCCACCCGCCTCGGCCTCCCAAAGTGCTGGGATTACAGGTGTGAGCCACCGCGCCCGGCCAAAAACATTTTTTTTTTTTGTAGAACTGGAATCTCACCATGTTGCCCATGCTGGTTTCAAACTCCGATCCTCAAATGATCCCATTGCCTCAGCCTCCCAAAGTGCTGGGATTATAAGTGTGGGCCACCGTCTCCAGCCTGAGCCTCAATTTCTTTATTGTGAAATGGGAGGATTGACATTATGGGGTGATTGTGAGAATGACATAAGTCAGAGTCTATTGTGCAAAATTGAATTTGTAAAGTACCATATAAATATACTTTTTCAGATAATAGTTATGACTAATACTGTTACAGGAAAGGTGTCCCAATCCAGACCCCAAGAGAAGGTTCTGGATCCTGCACAAGAAAGAATTTGGGGCGAGTTCATAAAGTAAAGTGAAAGCAAGTTTATTAGAGAAGTAAAAGAATAAAAGAATGGCTACTCCATAGGCAGAGCAGTGGCACGGGATGTTCAACTGAGTACACGTATAGTTATTTCTTGATTATATGTTAAACAAGGGGTGGATCATTCATGAGTTTTCCAGGAAAAGGGCAGGGATTTACCCTAACTGAGGGTTCCTCCCCTTTTAGACCATATAGGGTAACTTCCTAATGTTGCCATGGCGTTTGTAAACTGTCGTGGTGCTGCTGGGAGTGTCTTTGAGTATGCTAATGCATTATAATTAGCGTATAGTGAGCAGTGAGGACAACTAGAGGTCACTTTCATCACCACCTTGGTTTTGGCAGGTTTTGGCTGCCTTCTTTATGGCATTGTTTTATCAGCAGGGTCTTTATGACCTCTATCTTGTCCTGCTGACCTATCTTGTCCTGTGACTAAGAATGCTTAACCTCCTGGGAATGCAGCCCAGTAGGTGTTAGCCTCATTTTACCCAGACCTTATTCAAGATGGAGTCCCTCTGGTTCCAATGCGTCTGACAATACTGCTGCCCTGAGGTGCCTGGTGCTGATTAGACCGCGATCAAGTGCATATTCGCTGTTGATTGATGTTACTCTCCTCTGTGCCACTCTCCCTATGTGGGCAGTCTCTTCTAACTGCGGGAACAGCAAACCAACCAGTGAGAAAGGCCATCGTCATTTCATTCTTTTGTGTGCCAAAGCACACAAACCACTTAGAGAATATTAGAGAATATGTTCTATTTCCTTCCAGAAAAAAAAAACCCACTTTTTTTTTTTTTTTGAGACAGAGTCTGGGTGGAGTGCAGTGGCGCGATCTTGGCTCACTGCACCCTCATCTTCCTGGGCTCAAGCAATCCTCCTACCTTAGCCTCCAGAGTAGCTGGTACTACAGGCACATGCCACCATACCTGGCTAATATTTTTGTATTTTTGGTGAAGATGGTGTTTCGCTGCATTGCCCAGGCTGGTCTACAACGCCTGAGCTCAAGCCATCTGCCTGCCTCTGCCTCCCAAAGTGCTGGGATTATAGGCATGAGCCACCGCGCCTGGACTCACACATTCTGTTTCGATTGAAGTATAAAATGAGTTAGTGTTGGTGAGTAAAACATGAAATTTATAAACCCAAACCCCAATCAGCAAGCTAGTGAGAGAGAGTGCTCAGCATGGGTGCTCAGCACGCAGGAAGTCCTTGAGCACAGGCTCAGCTCACTTTTCACTTACAATTGAAAATCTGCACTCAGGTTATGTCATCTTTGGATACTCCCTCCTCAGACTTCTCCCCAGATCTCTAGGCAAGGGGGCACTAATTAGACCAACGTGCTTTGCAGCCCTTGTTGACTATTTCCCTCACTTGTCGTTATAACATTGCCTTGAGGAGGAGACACTTCTACAGTAACCAGGACATGCCCGGGAAGTCCCATTGTGTGGGGCCCTTTACCCACCTTTTTGGCCAGCTTCCAGTGTTCTTGACTTACTGGAGATCTGGTAGTCTTACGGCCGAAACATAATTCGGTTTTCATTCTCTTATCTCATGTCCGAGAACCAACTATTCAACTTCCTCCCTCACTGCTGACTGGGGCGACTTTTCCATGGAACTAAAAATCCTCCACATACCCGCTCTATATGACCTTGTTCTTTATTTTCCAAGGTTCTTAACCTAATACAGTTATTATTTACAATTCTGTGTAAATCCTTTGTGGGATTTTTTTACATACTATAACCATTCATACATTCAACACATATTTTTTGAGTGTCTAGTATATACAACAGGTGTTGGTCTAGGTCTAGGGCTGTATCAGTGAATGAAACTAAGTCTTTACTGTCAAGGAGTTTACATTTAATTGGGTGACACAAAAACTACAATAGATAGATAATGTGTCTATTATAGAAATGATAATAGGTGTTATGGGAGAAAATTATTATAGTGTAAGGAGGACAGGTAGTCCAGGGGAGGGGTGTGGAAATACTGCTTTACACAAGGGTAGTCTGGGACAGCTCCGCTGTCAAGGTGGTATCTGAATAGAAATGAGAGAGTAAGCCATATGGATATGTGATGAAAGTGTCCCTGGCCGGGCGCGGTGGCTCACGCCTGTAATCCCAGCATTTTAAGAGGCCGAGGCGGGCGGATCACGAGACCATCCTGGCTAACACGGTGAAACCCCGTCTCTACTAAAAATACAAAAAATTAGCCGGGCGTGTTGGCGGGCGCCTGTAGTCCCAGCTACTCGGGAGGCTGAGGCACGAGAATGGCGGAGCTTGCAGTGAGCCGAGATCACGCCACTGCACTCCAGCCTGGGCGACAGCGATACTCCGTCTCAAAAAAACAAAAACAAAAACAAACAAACAAAAAAACGCAAAATTAGCCAGGTGTGGTGTTGTGCGCCTGTAGTCCCAGCTACTCAGGAGGCTGTGGCAGAAGAATTGCTTAAATCCGGGAGGTGGAGGTTGCGGTGAGCCGAGATCGCGACATTGCACTCCAGCCTGGGCAACAAGAGCAAGACTCCGTCCCAAAAATAAAAAAATGAAAATAAATAAAAAGAGACGGCCAGGAGCGGTGGCTTACACATGTAATCCCAGCACTTTGGGTGGCTGAGGCGGGTGGTTCAGCTGAGGTCGAGAGTTTGAGACCAGCCTGACCAACATGGAGAAACCCTGTCTCTACTAAAAATACAAAATTAGCCGGGCGTGGTGGCGCGTGCCTGTAATCCCAGCTACTCTGGAGGCTGAGGCAGGAGAATGGCTTGAACTCGGGAGGCAGAGGTTGCTGTGAGCCAAGATCACACCATTGCACTCCAGCCTGGGCAACAAGAGCAAAACTCCATCTCAATAAATAAATAAATAAATAAATAAATAAATAAATAAATACAATGATATTGCAGAGGCCAAGTGAAGAAAATGTCCATAATCATACTCCAAAATAATAGGCTTCCTTGGCTGGGTGTGGTGGCTCACACCTGTAATCCCAGCACTTTGGGAGGCCAAGGGGGCAGATCACGAGGTCAAGAGATGGAGACCATCCTGGCCAACATGGAGAAACCCCGTCTCTACTAAAAATGCAAAAATTAGCTGTGTGTGGTGGCTTGCATCTGTAGTCCCAGCTACTCAGGAGGCTGAGGCAGGAGAATCGCTTAAACCCAGGAGGCGGAGGTTGCAGTGAGCTGAGATCGTGCCACTGCACTCCAGCCTGGCGACAGAGCAAGACTCTGTCTCAAAAAAAAAAAAAAAAAGCCTTCCTTTTTTATTTTGTCACATGATATTAATTTACTTGCATATCTCCTTCACTAGACTGTTGGATTTTGTGGCCTGGGAATATATCACATCCATTACTCATCTCTAGGGCTTATGCTTAGCTCAGTGCCTGACACGTTAGACTTTTCTCCTTTTTTTTTTTTTTCAGATGGAGTCTTGCTCTGTCACCCAGGCTGGAGTGCAGTGGCACTATCTTGGCTCACTGCAACCTCTGCCTCCAGGGCTCAAGCAATTCTCCTGCCTCAGCCTCCAGATTAGCTGGGATTACAGGCGCCCACCACCAGGCCCAACTAATTTTTGTATTTTATTTTATTATTTTATTTATTTATTTTTGAGATAGGGTCTCACTTTGTCACCCAGGCTGGAGTGCAGTGGCGTGATCTTGGCTCACTGCAACCTCTGCCTCCCGGGTTCAAGCGATTCTCCTGCCTCAGCCTCCCAAGTAGCTGGGATTACAGGTGCCTGCCACCATGCCCGGCTAATTTTTGTATTTTTAGTAGAGACAGGGTTTCTCCATGTTGTCCAGGCTGGTCTCAAACTCCTGACCTCAGGTGAGCCACCCGCCTTGGCCTCCCAAAGTGCTGGGATTACAGGGGTAAGCCACTGCACCCAGCCTAATTTTTGTATTTTAGTTAAGACCGGGTTTCACCATGTTGGCCAGGCTTGTCTGGAACTCCTGGCCTCAAGTGTTCTGCCTGCCTCGGCCTCTCAAATTGCTGGAATTACAGATGTGAGCCACAGCATCAGATCTAGGCTTTTCTTGTTGGGAATGTTTTTCCTTCTTTCACAAAACCTTTTATTTTGAAAACAATATAAACTAGAGAAAAGTTGCAAGAATAGTGCAATGAACTGAAACGCCCTTCACCTAGATCACTAATTGTTAGTAAACATTTTGCCACATTTGTTTTTTTCTCTTTCTCTCCATTTGAAATTAAGTTATAGATATCACAACCCAACATGCCTAAATAATTTAGTGTCTATCCTTGAAGAAAGATATTCTCTTACTGTACAATCACCAAATTCAGGACATTTAACATTGATACACTATGATTATCAATATATAGTCCATATTCAAATTTTGCCAATTGTCCCAGTAATGCCTTCTGTAACAATCCTTCTCCCTTCACACATTTCATTTAGTTCTCGTGTCTATTTGGGCTCCTTTAATCTAGAACAGTTCCTCAAACTTTGTTTTCTATGACATGAACATTTTTGAAGTGCACAGTGTTGACAAAAAGAGTCAAACTCTGTAAAATATTTAAAGAAATTTATTCTGAGCCAAATATGAGTGACCATGGTCTGTGACACAGCCCTCAGGAGATCCTGAGAACATGTGCCCAAGGTGGTTGGGTGCAGCTTGGTTTTATACATTTTAGGGAGGGCATGAGACATTAATCAAATACATTTAAGAAGTACATTGGTTTGGTCCAGAAAGGCGGGACAACTCAAAGCAGATAAGGCAGTGGAGGGGCGGCGGGGGCGGGGGCGGGAGGGCGTCGGTCGGGGGGCCTTCCAGGCTATAGGTAAATTTAAACATTTTCTGGTTGACAATTGGATGAGTTTGTCTAAAGACCTGGGATCCATAGAAAGGAAATGCTCAGGTTAAGATAAAAGATTGTGGGGGCCGGGCACGGTCGTTCACACCTATAATCCCAGCACTTTGGGAGGCAGAGGTGGGCAGATCACGAGGTCAAGAGATGGAGACCATCCTGGCCAACATGGAGAAACCCTGTCTCTACCAAAAATGCAAAAATTAGCTGGGGTTGGTGGTGCGTTCCTGTAGTCCCAGCTACTCAGGAGGCTGAGGCAGGAGAATTGCTTGAACCTGGGAGGCAGAGGTTGCAGTGAGCCGAGATCGCCACTGCAATCCAGCCTGGTGACAGAGGGAGACTCTGCCTCAAAAAAAAAAGAAAAAAAAGATTGTGGAGACTTCGCTGGCCTGGTGGCTCACGCCTGTACCCCAGCACTTAGGCCAGGCGCAGCGGCTCACTCCCGTAATCCCAGCACTTAGGCCAGTCGCACTGGCTCACATCTATAATCCCAGCACTTTGGGAGGCTGAGGCAGGCGGATAGCCTGAGGTCGGGAGTTCGAGACCAGCCTGGCCAGCATGGTGAAACCGCTTCTCTACTAAAAATACAAAAATTAGCTGGGCGTGGTGGCAGGCGCCTGTAATCCCAGCTACTCGGGAAGTTGAGGCAGGAGAATGGCTTGAACCCAGGAGATGGAGGTTGCAGTGAGTCAAGATGGCGCCATTGCACTCCAGCCTGGGCAACAGCATGAAACTCCATCTCAAAAAAAAAAAAAAAATTAGCCAGGCATGGTGATGCGTGCCTGTAATCCTAGCTACTAGGGGGCCTGAGGCAGGAGGATCACTTGAACCTGGGAGGTGGAGGTTGCAGTGAGACAAGATGGTGCCACTCTACTCCAGCCTGGGCAACAGAGTGAGACTCCATCTCAAAAAAAAAAAAAAAAGATTGTGGCGAGCAAGTTTCTTTTGAACTCTTATAGTGGCTGCCCTTAGAGAGAATAGATGACAGATGTTTCCTATTCAGACCTTAAAAGGTGCTAGACTCTTAGTTAATCTCTTCAGGAGTGCTCGCTTCGGCAGCACATATATATGATGATCTCTTCAGGGTTCGGAGGGCCTGGAAGAAAAAGATATAGCTATGTTAATAGAGATTCTTTACAGATGTGAATCTTCCCCTCCAAAGGACAGCTGTGCAGGGCCATTTCAAAATATGGCAAAGAAACATGTTTTGGGGTAAAATATTTTGACTTTCTTCTTTGTCACATAATGTTATGCCAGAGTCAGATTGGAAAGTAAGTCACGATATATAGGGTTAAATCAAACCCATCTGATGAGAATTTATAGTTTGTAGGCCATGACTCTCCAGACCCTTAAGATAGGAATTTAGGCAAGATGAAAAAAAAAAAATCAGAGCTTAGTCTTCACAGACAAATAGATTTTTAGAATGTTCATCAATTTAGGTTTTCTAAATGTCTCTTCATGATGAGGTTTCTTCCATTTTTGGCAGTAAACTACATAAATGATCTTGTATATATATATATTAGAAATACAGGCCCAGAGCGGTGGCTTATGCCTGTAGTCCCAGCACTTTGGGAGACTGAGGTGGGCCTCACTTGAGGCCAGGAGTTCCAGACTAGCCTGGGCAACATGACAAAGCCACATCTCTACTAAAAATACAAAAATTAGTTGCGTGTGGTGGCATGGGCCGGCCTGTAATCCCAGCTACTCAGGTGGCTGAGGCAGAAGAATCGCTTGAACCCAGGAGGTGGAGGTTGTAGTGAGCCAAGATCATGCCACTGCACTCCAGGCTGAGACACAGTGAGGCTCTGTCTCAAAAAAAAAAAACAAAAAAACAAAAAAACCCCACAATGTTGGGTGATTCACTATTAAATAGTAATTTACCAGTTAAGAAAAAATATGGAGCACGAATTTCCACGTCAGCATGTCATCCTTTCACAGGAGGCATGCTAATCTTCTTCGTAACATCCAATTTTAATATATATGCTAGGCCGGGCGCGGTGGCTCACACCTGTAATCCCAGCACTTTGGAAGGCCAAGGCAGGCAGATCACAAGGTCAGGAGATCGAGACCATCTTGGCTAACACGGTGAAACCCCGTCTCTATTAAAAATACAAAAAATAAGCCGGGCGCCGTGGCGGGCACCTGTAGTCCCAGCTACTCAGGAGGCTGAGGCAGGAGAATGACGTGAACCCGGGAGGCGGAGCTTGCAGTGGGCCGAGATCACGCCACTGCACTGCAGCCTGGGCAACAGAACGAGACTCTGTCTCAAAAAAATACACACACACACACACACACACACACACACACACATATGTGCATACACACATACGTGCACGCACATGTACATATATACATACGTGCACGCACATGTGCATATATACATACATGCACGCATGTGTATATATACATATGTACACACATATACACATATATATGCTGAAGCAAGCATAATTTACCAATTTTTTAAAGGAGGATTATGTCAAATCAAAAACTGTGATGGGACCAGGCAAGGTAGCTCATGTCTGTAATACCAACACTTTGGGAGGCCAATGTGGGAGGATTGCTAGAGGCCAGGAGTTTCAGACCAGCCTGGGCAGTATAGCAAGACCCTGTCTCTTAAAAAAAAAAAGGCAACTGTGATGGATGTGAGATCTTACCCCACTTGCATAGTCATAAATAAGCACATAGATAGAGATGATAAATAGATACTAGACGAAACATCAGGTTTCGTCTAGTCAAAGATCAGAGCTTTATTTACTCACAGCAATAAGAGTAGCCACAGCGACATTGCTGAGTTGTCCTCAAGCCTGAGAATTCATATAGGAAAGAGACTCTCCTCAAAGGAGAGGGAAAAGCTTTGTTCCCTAAGGTAAACACATTTTCCTTAGGAACAAAAAGGAAAGGAGTTTGTGGATTCTCACCTTTTGGAATCTAAGTATCTATCTCTACTGGGAAGATAAAATCAGCCTCTTTGAGGCTTTTCTCCACTTTTGACTTGCAAACTCATGGAGAGATAGTTCTCTACATTCTTTCAGAGATCTTTCTAGGGAGGAGGGGAAGTTCCCTATCCTGGAATGTAAGGCTCTGCCTCCAGGTAAGAGAAGTTTTATTATCCTTTAAGTGGAAGCCAGTGTCTCTATAATGAAGGTTGTAGAGAACAAATATTTATGGGGGAAATGAAAGCAAGCATTTTCATTTTCATAGTAGATTAATATCTGTGGTTCAAGAGCCTGAGTTTGCAGGAACACTCAGTAATACAGAGAAAATGTATTTCCCACAGACTATAGTGCAAAACTTCAGAATAAATAAAAGTTGACTTCAGTAACACATGGGTATCCCTTCTGCCCTCCTTCCCTCCCATTTACTGCATCTTTTTTTTGATCTTTGGTGCTCTCACCGGACTCTACCCTGTACTTCTATTTTGGGGTATGGATCCCTTCCCAAAAGACTCTTTGTTACAAGATTACTTTTCCCATATTTTACATCCTATACTTTTAGAGTAGCTCATCTCAGCTAGTTGTTATAAGGAAAGTAAACTAAGTCAAAATTAGTCATCAATGAATTATTAGCTTTTAGTACTGCGGGAGATTTTTTTTTTCAAGAGTACCAATGTGTCCGGAATTGGTGGGTTCTTGGTCTCACTTCAACAATGAAGCTGCGGACCCTCGCGGTGTTACAGCTCTTAAGGTGGCACGTCTGGAGTCTGTCCCTTCTGATGTTCAGATGTGTTTGGAGTTTCTTCCTTCTGGTGGGTTCGTGGTCTCGCTGGCTCAGGAGTGAAGCTGCAGATCTTCGCGGTGAGTGTTACAGCTCATAAAAGCAGCCTGGACCCGAAGAGTGAGCAGTAGCAAGATTTATTGCAAAGAGTGAAAGAACAAAGCTTCCACGGTGTGGAAGGGGACCCGAGCTGGTTGCCAATGCTGGCTCAGGCAGCCTGCTTTTATTCTCTTATCTGGCCCCACCCACATCCTGCTGATTGGTAGAGCCGAGTGGCCTGTTTCGTCAGGGCGCTGATTGGTGCGTTTACAATCCCTGAGCTAGATACAAAGGTTCTCCACGTCCCCATCAGATTAGTTAGATACAGAGTTTCCACACACAGGTTCTCCAAGGCCCCACCAGAGCAGCTAGATACAGAGTGTCGATTGGTGCACTCACAAACCTTCAGCTAAACACAGGGTGCTGATTGGTGTGTTTACAAACCTTGAGCTAGATACAGAGTGCCGATTGGTGTATTTACAATCCCTGAGCTAGACATAAAGGTTCTCCAAGGCCCAACCAGAGCAGCTAGATACAGAGTGTCAATTGGTGCACTCACAAACCTTGAGCTAAACACAGGGTGCTGATTGGTGTATTTACAATCCCTGAGCTAGATATAAAGACTCTCCACGTCCTCACCAGAGCAGCTAGATACAGACTGTAGACTGGTGCACTCACAAACCTTGAGCTAAACACAGGGTGCTGATTGGTGCATTTACAATCCCTGAGCTAGATATAAAGACTCTCCACGTCCTCACCAGAGCAGCTAGATACAGAGTGTCGACTGGTGCACTCACAAACCTTGAGCTAAACACAGGGTGCTGATTGGTGTATTTACAATCCCTGAGCTAGATATAAAGACTCTCCACGTCCTCACCAGACTCAGGAGCCCAGCTGGCTTCACCTAGTGGATCCCGCACCGTGGCTGCAGGTGGAGCTGCCTGCCAGTCCTGCGCCGTTTGCTCGCATTCCTCAGCCCTTGGGTGGTCGATGGGACTGGGCGCCTTGGAGCAGGGGGTGGTGCTCGTCGGGGAGGCTCGGGCCGCACAGGAGCCCACAGAGGGGGTGGGAGGCTCAGGCATGGCGGGCTGCAGGTCCCGAGCCCTGCCCCGTGGGAAGGCAGCTAAGGCCCGGCGAGAAATCGAGCGCAGCGCCGGTGGGCCAGCACTGCTGGGGGACCCAGTACACCCTCCGCAGCCACTGGCCCGCGTGCTAAGTCCCCCATTACCTGGGGCCAGCAGGGCTGACTGGCTGCCCGAGTGCGGGGCCCACCAAGCCCACGCCCACCCGGAACTCCAGCTGGCCCGCAAGCGCCGCAGGCAGCCCCGGTTCCCGCTCGTGCCTCTCCCTCCACACCTCCCTGCAAGCTAAGGGAGTGGGCTCCGGCCTTGGCCAGCCCAGAAAGGGGCTCCCACAGTGCAGTGGGGGGGCTGAAGGGATCCTCAAATGCCACCAAACTGGGAGCCCAGGCAGGGGAGGTGCCGAGAGCAAGCGAGGGCTCTGAGGACTGCCAGCACGCTGTCACCTCTCACCAATACTTGTCATGTGGATGGGAGACACTGTAAAAATAAAGTGAGGTGGAAGGAAAAGGTCTGTGAAAGCATACTTGTAATTCATAAAATACCATATAAATGAAAGTAAAGTTGTGTAATAATTCTAAACCAAAAATAAAATTCTAAGGCCCCCCAACCATCTGAATGGACTTTCTCCTGGCCAGGGCACTTTTAAAATTTAACCTGAAAGACTGGTTCGGGCCGTGATGGAAGGGGGTGGTCAGACATGCCTTGTTATACCTCTCCGGCATTAATATCAACACAGAATTCAGTCTGATAAGAAACATTTTACAGCCTATTCTCTCTCAAGCCCACTACCTGAAGGCCTCCTCTGCACATCAGAACTTTGGTCTCCATAATCCTTCATCTTAACCCAGACATTTCCTTTCTATTCATCCCAGGTCTTTAGATAAACTCAACCAATTGTCAACCAGAAAATTTTTAAATCTACCTGCAACCTGGCAGCCCCCTTCCAGTTGTCTTGCCTTTCTGAACTGAACCAGTGTATTTCCTAAATGTATTTGATTGAAGTCTCATGTCTCCCTAAAATGTATAAAACTAAGCTGCACCCCATTCGCCTTGGGTACACATTCTCAGGATCTCCTGAGGGCTGTGTCATGGGCCATGATCACTCATGTTTGGCAGAATAAATTTCTTCAAATATTTTACAGAGTTTGACTCTTTTTGTTGACATAATTATGCACCGAGACTTGGGAAAGAGAAGACACTTACCGCAGTGTATTTTAATACATATGACGTTGACTTCCTGCATTTTGGTGCACAGGTCTTCATTTTCCTGCCTCCGTTTCATGGTCACAAGATAGCTGCTGTACCCACATGTCAGGCCTCTGAGCCCAAGCTAAGCCATCATATCCCCTGTGACCTGCACGTATACATCCAGATGGCCTGAAGTAACTGAAGAATCACAGAAGAAGTGAAAATGGCCCATTCCTGCCTTAACTTATGACATCCCACCATTGTGATTTGTTGCTGCCCCACCTTAACTGAGCGATTAACCTTGTGAAATTCCTTCTCCTGGCTTAGAAACTCCCCCACTGAGCACCTTGTGACCCCCACCTATGCCTGCAAGAGAAAAACCCCTTTTGACTGTAATTTTCCACTACCCACACAAATCCTATAAAACGGCCCCACCCCTATCTCCCTTCGCTGACTCTTTCTGGACTCAGCCCGCCTGCACCCAGTTGAAATAAACAGCCTTGTTGCTCACACAAAGCCTGTTTGGTGGTCTCTTCACACGGATGCGCGTGACACCACAGAGTCACATTTATATTCCTGGCAGAAAGAGGAATATAAAGTAAAGGAAGAAGAAGGCAAATAAGCTTTGTCTTTTTATTCTGAAAAGGACACTACCCTCAGAAACCACCACCTTCATCTTATTGCTAAAAGCAGCGTCACATGACCAGCACAAGTGCAAATGAGGATGGGAAAGTGAGTTTTTAAATTGAACACATGGCTATTTCAAATAAAAGCAGGGTTCTATTACAAAAAATGGGGTGTGTGTGTGTGTGTGTGTGTGTGTGTGTATGTGTAGAGGGGGATATTTTTTAAATAGGCAACTAATAGTGTTGACTTCATCCAGCAATTTTACCTCCAGGAATGTATCCTATAGTGATATATGAGGACTAAGCTCTGATTTTTTTTTTTGCCCAAATTCCTATCTAAGGGGTCTGGGGAGTCATGCCCTACAAATCATCAATTCTCATCAGATGGGTTTTATTTAATCCTGTATATTGTGACTTACTTTCCAATCTGACTCTGGCATAACAAGGAAGAAAATCAAAATATTTTACTGCAAAACATGTTTCTCTGCCATATCTTGAAACAGCCCTGCAAAGTCTCTTGTGGGAAAAATCCACATTCTGTAGAGAATCCCCTTTCCCCCTTTGTTTTCCTTCCTTCCTTTCCAGATCCAGGAGATAATCAGCTAAGAGCCAGGCACCCTTCTAAGTTCAATAAGAAACATTTTACAACCTGCTCTCTCTGAAGTCAGCTATCTGAGAGCTTCCTCTGCACAATAAAACTTGGTCTCCACAATCCTTTATCTTAACCTGAACATTTTCTTTCCATTGATCCCCGGCCTTCAGATAAACTCAACCAACTGTCAACCAGAAAGTATTTAAATTTACCTATAGCGTGGAAGCCCCGGCTTTGCATTGTCCTGCCTTTCTGAACCAAACCAATGTATTTCTTAAATGTATTTGATTGATGACTCATGTCTCCCTAAAATGAATAAAACCAAGCTGGCCGGGCGCAGTGGCTGATGCCTGTAATCCCAGCACTTTGGGAGGCCAAAGTGGGCGGATCACGAGGTCAGGAGATCGAGACCATCCTGGCTAACACGGTGAAACCCCGTCTCTACTAAAACAAAAAATTAGCCAGGCGCAGTGGCAGGCACCTGTAGTCCCAGCTACTCGGGAGGCTTGAGGCAGAAGAATGGCGTGAACCTGGGAGGTGGAGCTTGCAGTGAGCAGAGATCACGCCACTGCACTCCAGCCTGGGTGACAGAGCGAGACTCCGTCTCAAAAAAAAAAAAAAAAAAAAAACCCAAGCTGTGCCCCGACCACCTTGGGCGCATATTCTCAGAATCTCCTGAGGGCTGTGTCATGGGCCATGGTCACTCATATTTGGCTCAGAATAAATCTCTTCAAATATTTAACAGAGTTTGACTCTTTTCATCAACATATCCACTGTGGCAGAAACCTGTTGGTGTCCCCACCTCAATCCCTGGGGATCCCTGCTACCATTTTGTGGTGCCCATTCCCCCAGGAGCTGTGGGTGCTGCTGGTAATGGTTTGTACCTACAACCCCAGGGGACTGGACTTGGATGATTAGAGCCACCTGGACATGAAGTTCATGGGAGTTATGTGCTGCTTTAACCAGTGACTGTCTATGGTAGGGTACAAATGTTCTGGTCCCTTGCCTAAGGGCAGACAGATTCTGCTTGCACTTTATGCTTCAGGGCTCCCGGTAGGAATAGGCTGAGTCTAGACTTCCCCTGAAACCATTCTTGCTTTCCTTCTTCCCCTCCCCTGGCCTGCTTCCCTCCCTCACCCTCCTAGATTTCTACCTAGACTACTTTCCTAATAAATCACTTGCCTACGAAGCTCCACCAGTCTCAGCTTCTAGGGAAATAGACTGAAGACACTCACGTATGCACAAAATGACATATACAAGATTATCCATTGTTTCATTCATAATAGAAGACTGTTAACAAGCAAATGTTCATCACTAGGCTCCTGGTTAAATAAAGTACAGCTGCCCCAGGAAGGAAACTAGGGGTTCAGGAATACGGTGAAAAGTAAACTTTCACTGAACTTTTAGTTCTTTCTGAATTTTTTTTTTTTTGAGACAGAGTCTCCCCCTTGCCCAGGATGGAGTGCAGTGGCACGATCTCGGCTCACCGCAACCTCCGCCTCCTAGGTTCAAGTGATTCTCCTGCCTCAGCTTCCCGAGTAGCTGGGATTACAGGTGTGCATCGCCACACCCGGCTAATTTTTGTATTTTTAGTATAGATGGAGTTTCACCATGTTGGCCAGGCTGGTCTCGAACTCCTGACTTCAGGTGATCCGCCTGCCTTGGCCTCCCACAGTGCTGAGATTACAGGTGTGAGCCACCGTGCCTGGCCTCTTTCTGAATTTTGAAGCATTTGGATGTATTGCTTTTTTTTTTTTTGAGACGGAGTCTCGCTCTGTCACCAAGCTGGAGTACAGTGGCGAGATCTCGGCTCACTGCAACTTCCACTTCCCGGGTTCAAACGATTCTCCTGCCTCAGCCTCCCGAGTAGCTGGGACTACAGGCGTGCACCACCACGCCCGGCTGATTTTTATATTTTTAGTAGAGATGGGGTTTCACCATGTTGGCCAGGCTGGTCTCGAACTCCTGACTTCAGATGATCTGCCTGCCTCGGCCTCCCAAAGTGCTGGGATTACAGGCATGGGCCACCATGCCTGGCCTGCTTATTTTTTAAAAAAATAAAATTAATGTTAAAATAATTAATTAAGGCTGGGCACAGTGGCTCACACCTGTAATCCTAGCACTTTAGGAGGCCGAAGCAGGTGGATCACTTATGCCCAGGAGTTCGAGAACCAGACTGGGCAACATGGTGAAACCTCATCTCTACAAAAAGTAAAAAAATTAACCGGGCATGGTCGTGCATGCCTGTGTTCCCAGCTACTTGGGAGGCTGAGGTGGGAGGATCACTTGAGCCTGGGAGGTCGAGGCTGCAGTGAGCTATGATTGTACCACTGCACTCCAGCCTGGGTGACAGTGAGATTCTGTTTCCAAAAAAAATTAATTAATCAAAAAATCCACTAAACAAGTAAATTGGATACTTAGGTGAAAATCTTAAGTGTAGGCCGGGTGCAGTGGCTCACGCCTGTAATCCCAGCACTTTGGGAGGCCGAGGCGGGTGGATCACAAGGTCAAGAGATCGAGACCATCCTGGCTAACATGGTGAAAACCCGTCTCTACTAAAAATATAAAAAATTAACCGGGCGCGGTGGCGGGCGCCTGTAGTCCCAGCTACTCCGGAGGCTGAGGCAGGAGAATAGTGTGAACCTGGGAGGCAGAGCTTGCAGTGAGCCGAGATCGTGCCACTGCACTCCAGCCTGGGCGACAGAGCGAGACTCAGTCTCAAAAAAAAAAAAAAAGAAAGAAAATCTTAAGTGTAAGTACCTAAACAATCTATTAAATGACCTGTGAAACCAAGGGCTCCTAATGCTATGACCAAAGACTGAAGCTCTCTATGAGATGCCAGCCACTCAATAGTGCACTTTTTCTGAGAAGATATAAGACAGCCACTCAGAATTATGATGTAATAATTGGTAATGTGGGGAAGTAAATAAATGTCTCAAAGTTTTGCTTTTGAAAAATGACTAGTAAATAGTAATAACAAAACTGTTATTTATGGAGGGATGAGTCTGTGGCCTATCTCTCTTCCCTTTTATGTCTACGTTTCTCACAGTCATCTACACTCCCTGTCACTTGTACTTATTCCCTTGACACTGCAATCTAGCTTCATCCACTCCCCCAAAATGACTCTTCCCAACGCTATCAATGACCCCTTTGTCTTTCCATCCAGTGGCTGTTTTTCAATCCTCGTATTCCTTAACTCTCAGCAGCATTCTGTGACATGATGCTCTCCTGGTGTTCTGCCTGCATCTCTGCTCATTTCTTTTTAGACTCCTTTGTCAGTTTATGCTCTTCTGCCAGTCTTTTTTTGAGACGGAGTTTCGCTCTTAGTCCAGGCTGGAGTGCAGTGGCGCGATCTCAGCTCACTGCAACCTCAGCCTCCCGGGGTCAAGCGATTCTCCTGCCTCAGCCTCTCCAGTAGCTGCGCCTGCCACCAGGCCCAGCTAATTCTTTTCTTCTTTTTTTTTTTTTTTTGAGACAGAGTCTCGCTCTATCCCCCAGGCTGGAGTGCGTACTCTATCCCCTAGGCTGGAGTACAGTGTCGCAATCTTGGCTCACTGCAACCTCCGCCACCCAGGTTCAAGTTATTCTCCTGCCTCAGCCTCCTGAGTAGCTGGGATTACAGGCGTGTGCCACCATGCCTGGCTAATTTTTTATTTTTTATTTTTGAAATGGAGTCTTCCTCTGTTGCCCGGGCTGGAGTGCAGTGGTGCGATCTCGGCCTACTGCAACCTCTGCCTCCTGGGTTCCAGTGATTCTCCTGCCTCAGCCTCTCGAGTAGCTGGGACTACAGGTGTGCGCCACTGCGCCAGGCTAATTTTTGTATTTTTAGTAGAGACAGGGTTTCACCATATTGGTCAGGCCAGTCTCAAACTTCTGACTTTAGGTGATCTGCCCACCTCAGCCTCCCAAAGTGCTGGGATTACAGGCGTGAGCCACCATGCCCGGCCAATTTTTGTATTTTTTAATTAGCAACGGGGTTTCACCACGTTGGCCAGGTTATTAACCACATCCATGGCTCTGATTACCACCTGTGGATAAATATGTCCCCAGTTCTCCTCTGAGCTCCTATTTTCCTTTTTTTTTAGAGGGTCTCACTCTGTCACCCAAGCTGGAGTGCAATGGTGCGATCATGGCTCATTGCAGCCTTGACTTCCAGTGCTCAAGCCATCCTCCCACCTCAGCCTCCCAAGTGTCTGGGACTACAGGCATGAGCCACCAAGCACCAGCTAATTTTTGTATTTTTTTGTAGAGAAGGGGTTTTGCCATGTTGCCCAGACTGGTCTCAAACTCCCGAGCTCAAGCGATCTACTGGCCTCGGCCTCCCAGACAGCTGGGATTACAGGCACAAGCCACCGTGCCCAGCCTCTGAGCTCCTATTTTCCTTTTATTATTATTATTATTATTATTATTATTATTATTATTATTATTATTATTTTGAGACGGAGTCTCACTCTGTCACCCAGGCTATAGTGCAGTGGCACGATCTCGGCTCCTGGGTTCAAGCCTCCTGGGTTCAAGTCATTCTCTAGCCTCAGCCTCCCAAGTAGCTGGGGCTACAGGCATGCACCACCATGCCCGGCTAGTTTTTCTATTTTTAGTAGCGATGGGGTTCACCATGTTAGCCAGACTAGTCTCAAACTCCTGACCTCATATGATCCACCCACCTCGGCCTCCCAAAGTGCTGGGATTACAGGCGTGAGCCACCGCGCCCGGCCTGAGCGCCTATATTCAACTGCACATTTAACATTTCCACTTGAATATCCCATTGAATGGCACCAACATTCATCCAATTTCTCCTTTCAGGAGCTTGGGGACCATCTTTCTCTTTTAGTATTCATATCTAACAAATCACCAAGTTCCATCAATTTTATCATTTAAGTATCTTTCTAATCTGTTCATTTCCTTCCATCTATACTGTCACCACCCTCATTTTAACTACCTTATAGTTTCTCACCTGATTAGTCCAAAAGCCTTTTAACTTCCTTTCTGCTTTCAATCTTGTTTTTTCTCTATTGCATTCCTCACACTGCACCCAGAATAATCTTTTTAAAATGTAATGTCACACTCCCTTCAGTAAAATCTTGCCTTTGATTTTCAGTGCATTTCAAATGAAGTCCAAAGTTCTCACCATGAACTCCAGTGCTGTGTGATCTGGCCTTTGCCTGCCTCTCCCATTTTGTTTCACAGCCCTCTCCCTTTGGCTCCCTCTAGGTTCCTTCCTCAGCAGTGGTTCTTTATTGTCTCAGGGCATCTGCTTTTGTTGTTTCACAGTTGTTAACATTCTTCTTTCTGCTTTCATGTATTTGGCCTTTTCTCAGTGTTCAAGTCTTGGATCAAATGTCACTTCCTCAGAAAGCCCTCTCCAGGCCGGGCACAGTGGCTCACACCTGTAATCCCAACAATTTAGAAGACCATGGTGGGAGGATCACTTGAGCCCAGGAGTTCAAGACCAGCCTGCGCAACATGGTGAAACTCCACCTTTACAAACAATTGTTTAAAATTAGCTGGATGTAGTAGCGTGCACCTGTAGTCTCAGCTACTCAGGAGGCTGAGGTGGGAGGATTGCCTGAGAGGTTGAGGCTGCAGTGAGCTAGGATTGCACCACTGCACTTCAGCCTGGGTGACAGAGCAAGACCCTGTTTCAAAGAACAAAATGCATCTTATTCTTGGTACTTGTAATTTGTAAACACATTCATTTACACATGCACATACGTCTATATAATTACATATTAAATATGTAATTATGTATTCACGTGTTTATTGTCCATCTCCAACACCCACCTCTATCCCAAATGTCAACTCCATAGAGGCAGGGACCTTATTAGTCTTGTTCACCAGTGTATTCCTTTTAGCTAGAATAATGCCTAGCACACAGCAAGAAAAGTAAGAAAAATGATGTGGGGAATCTTTTAACAAATGATTATTCATTCAGAGATTCCCCACATCATTTTTCTTTCTTTTTTGCCCTCTAGTTACATTGGCTTTGAATTCTTTTTTCTTTTTTTTTGAGACTTAGTCTGGCTCTGTCGCCCAGGCTGGAGTGCAGTAGCGCCATCTCGGCTCACTGCAATCTCCGCATCCCGGGTTCAAGCGATTCTCTTGCCTCAGCCTCCTGAGTAGCTGGGATTACAGGCGCCCGCCACCATGCCTGGCTATTTTTTTGTATTTTTGGTAGAGACGACGTTTCACCGTGTTAGCCAGGATGTCTTGATCTCCTGACCTTGTGATCCACCAGCCTCGGCCTCCCAAAGTGCTGGGATCACAGGTGTGAGCCACCGTGTCTGGCCTCAGCTGAACATTTTTTAAGAATTCAAAGCTGGCCAGGTGCGGTGGCTCACACCTGTAATCCCAGCACTTTGGAAGGCTGAGGCGGGTGGATCACAAGGTCAAGAGATTGAGACAATCCTGGCCAACACGGTGAAACCCCGTCTCTACTAAAAATATAAAAATTAGCTGGGCGTGGTGGCATGCGCCTGTAGTCCCAGCTACCTGGGAGGCGGAGGCAGGAGATCGCTTGAACCCAGGAGACAGAGGTTGCAGTGAGCCGAGATCTTGCCACTGCACTCCAACCTGGCAACAGAGCAAGACTCCGTCTCAGAAAAAAAAGTTCAGCTGGTGCTGTGGCTTATGTCTGTAATCCCAGCATTTTGGGAGGGTGAAGCAGGAGGCTCACTTGAGTCCAGGAGTTCAAGACAAGCCTGGGCAACATAGTGAGAGCTCCATCTCTACAAAAAAATACAAAAATAGCTGGACATGATGGAGAACGCCTGTGGTCCCAGCTACTCAGGAGGTTGAGGTAGGAGGATTGCTTGAGCCCAGGAGTTTAAGGCTCCAGCTGACCATGATTGCACCACTGCCCTCCAGCCTGGACAACAGAATGAGACCCTGTCTCAAAAAAAAAAAAGAAAGAAAAAGTTATGTAACTTTCTCCCTCATTTCCTTAGAATATGCTATTTGCTCTGCCTGATAAGCTCCCTGCCACCACATATTTAGTTAATGACTACCTGCTTTCTAGGTCTCAGTGTAAATGCTACTGCTTTAGCGTTGCTACTCCTGACATTCTAGACAAGGTGAGGTCACTGTTATATAATCCCCTAAAACCTATCTTTTCCCTTCAGAACACTTATGATTTGTAATTATTTTTATTTATTTTTGTTTGGCTGGGTTTTTTGTTTGTTTGTAATTATATTTTCTTGTTGGTCTGTTTGCTCTAGACCAGAGATCAGCAAACTCCAGCCCATGGGCCAAGTCCAGCCTACCACTTGTTTTATAAATAAAGTTTTTGGAATACAGTAAAATGCATTCATTTATGTATTGCCCATTTGGCTCCTAAAATATTTACCGTCTGCTTTTTTTTTTTTTTTTGAGATGGAATTTCGCTCTTTTTGCCCAGGCTGGAGTGCAGTGGTGCAGTCTCAGCTCACTGCAACCTCCGCCTCCTGGGTTCAAGTGATTCTCATGCCTCAGCCTCCTGAATAGCTGAGATTACAGATATGCACCACCACGCCCAGCTAATGTTTGTATTTTTAGTAGACATGGGGCTTTGCTATGTTGGCCAGGTTGGTCTTGAACTGCTGACCTCAGGTGATCTGCCGGCCTCAGCCTCCCAAAGTGCTGGGATTACAGGCGTGAGCCACGGTGCCCAGCCACCATCTGCTCTTTACAGAAAAAGTTTGCTCACCTCTACTCTAGACTAGAGTATAATCTCTATTAGGACAAAGATGATCTCTTCCTACACACTACTAAAATTTAAAGAATTTCCGTAAAAACTAGTGAAATAAAATAAATGGTAATCGCTCTGCTAAGTACTTTATATGTATTACCCACATCAATTTTATGAGAAAAATATTATTATCTACAATCTACACATGAGGAAACTGAGGCTCAGAGCCATCTGGTGAGTTGCCCTAAGGTCACACAGCTGATAAGTAGCAAACTGATGTTTGAATCTAAGTTTAAAACAATGTTTCTTCTTTAAATTTTTTTTTTTTTTTTGAGACAGAGTCTTGCTCTTGTCGCCCAGGATGGAGTGCAGGCGTGAGCCACCACACCCGGCCCTTCTTTAAATTTTTAAATGTAATTAATTGATACTACAACTAGTCAGTGAAAGTTTGATAAGGAGCATCTTATCATAACACAATTAATTACCACTAATTAATTACAAAAGAAAAATAGTAATGTGACAGTGAAAACAGTTAATCAAAGTTAATACCACCAATAATGGGGCAAGCTGACATCATTTTCTCCTGCTGTACTGCAATGAGATGGTCATAATAGCTCTTATATAGTTTTTTGCCAAAAATGCAAAATCTGAATCTAATCACAAGGAAATATCCAACAAAGCCAAATTGAGGGACATGTTACAAAATTCAAAACATCACATAATCCAAAAGACAAAATTTTAAACTGTCAACATCATGAAAGACAAAGAAAAACTAAGGAATTGTTACAGATTGAGACCAAAGAGACATGACAACTAAATGTACTGTGTGAACCTAGATTGGATCCCAGACCAGAGAATCTTCTTTTTCTATAAAGAACATTATTGGGACTATTGTGAATCGGTGTTACAAGTTGTGGGTAATTAAATATAGCTACAGGGAGCTGGGCAAGGTGGCTCACGTCTGTAATCCCAACACTTTGGGTGGCCGAGGTGGGCAGGTCACCTAAGGACAGGAGTTTGAGACCAGCCTGGTCAACATGGTGAAACCCCGTCTCTACTAAAAATACAAAAGTTAGCTAGGCATGGTGGCGGGCTAATCCCAGCTTGGGAGGCTGAGGTGGGAGAATCGCTTGAACCCAGGAGGTGGAGGTTGCAGTGAGCTGAGATCACGCCACTGCACTCCAGCCTGGGCAACAGAGTAAGACTCTGTCGCATAAGTAAATAAATAAAGCTACAGATTATTTGTATCCCCTCCTGAAAAGAGGTGAAGTCTATTTACCCACCTCTTGAATCTTGGGCTGGTCTTGTGACTTTGACCAATAAAATGGAGAAGTGATGACTTCTGAATTTCATTTTGAAAAGGTCTTCTGGCTTCTGCTCTTGCTCTTAGAATTCTGCCCTGAGACTATTGTATAAAGAAGCTCAGTATAGCGTATTAAAGATGAGGCCACGGCCTGAAGTATACAAGTTGATAGCACCAAGTGCTACGTATGTAAACAAAAGACCATCTTAGAGAGATGACAAGTCAAGTGGTTCCAGGGGAGATCAGCAGAAGCACCACTCAGCTGATTCCAGTCCAAATTTCAACCCACAGAAATATGAACAATAAACAGATGCCATTATAGGCTACTAATTTTAGAGGTGATTTGTTTTTTTTGTTTTTTTGTTTTGTTTTGTTTTGTTTTTGAGATGGTGTCACTCTGTCGCCCAGGCTGGAGTGCAGTGGCGCGATCTCGTCTCACTGCAACCTCCATCTCCTGGGTTCAAGCAATTCTCTGCCTCAGCCTCCTGGGTAGCTGAGATTACAGGCATCCGCCACCAGGCCCAGCTAATTTTTTTTTATATTTTTAGTAGAGACAGGGTTTCACCATGTTGGCCAGGCTGGTCTTGAACTCCTGACCCTGTGATCCACCTGCCACGGCCTCCCAAAGTGTTGGGATTACAGGCATGAGCCACTGCACCCGGCTAGAGGTGATTTGTTATACAACAAAGGCTAACTGAAACAGACATATCTTGAGATCATTTGGCTACTTGGGCAAGGGCTCAGAGGTGAAAATGTTAAGAGTTATCAACTTATAGTCTGGTCCCCAGTTCTCAGGCGTGAAAATTCAAAATTGTGAATGAATCCAGAATTGATGAGATTCCATGAATACCAGGATAACCAAAGAATTCATGATAACCAAACTCATAAGAAACTATGTAAGCCAGGATATCTACCAGAAAAA